>NT_167246.2:3552121-3720796 GCF_000001405.40 Homo sapiens | reverse complement strand
AGTCACAGGATGAGATAGGAGGTCTGCACAGGATACAGGTCATGAAGACCTTGCTGATAAAACAGGTTGCAGTTAAGAAACGGGCCAAAACCCACCAAAACCAACATGGCCACAAGAGTGACCTCTGGTCATCCTCACTGCTCATTATATGCTAATTATAAAGTATTAGCATGCTAAAAGACACTCCCACCAGCGCCATGACAGTTTACAGATGCCATGGCAACATCCAAAATTACCCTATATGGTCTAAAAAGGAGAGAAGCCCTTAGTCCAGGAATTGCCCACCACCTTCCCGGAAAACTCATGAGTAATCCACCCCTTATTTAGCTTGTAATCAAGAAATGCTAAACCTACATGAAGTATGAACGATTCCTTACATTCCATTCCATGCACCACATCCTCCCTGAAGATTGTCTTGATTCCTTCATAGTTATTGAATTATTATAATATTAGTGCCTATGTTCTCTACTCTCAAAAGTGCAAATGACATTAATAACTGAACTTATAATATTTTCTGCTTTGCTACCTTAAGAATGAGTGCCTGGTATTGCGACGTGATTACAACGAATTTAAGACAATGAAGCAGTCCTCTCTCCCTATCTCCCTCATATCCTCTCTGGCTCTCTCTCTCTCTCTGTCCTTCTCTCCTCCTCTCTTTCCCCCGCATTCTCCCAGGGTGGTTCAGTGGCAGAATTCTGCTGGGACCTTTAAGAGAGAGAAGCATATTCAGCAGCAGCAGCAGTTTTCCTATTCCTGCCCCCATCCGCGGCTTTGAACTGAGTTTACCACGAAATACAAAAACACAATTTTAGAAAGAAAGATATTGGCAGTTAAGATTTGGGAAGTTTCTAAATGGGACTCTCAGTCCTTCCCGCCACTCTGAAATCGCGGTGCAGTAGTAAAATCTTGGAGGCGGTTCTTGAACAAACCTGTCATCTACTGGCCATGTGTGGAACTGCAACAGCCCGGTGGGGAATGCACTTCGCAGAGATGGAGATCCTCTCAGAGGCCCCAAGAGGACCAAGTAAAAGAACCCAGGATGAATGGCAGGCTGGATGGGTGCAAATGCAGGAGGCTTAGTATATCGGTATGATTTTCTTTGCCTTCTTTCTCCCAATATTTGGAAGGGTCCCCTATTTCCAGTGTGAGACATGCCCGGATATCTCTGTGAGTGCAGCTTCTTTGGGGTCCTGGGAGGAGTGTGATGGTATTAACACATTCTGTACACCCTCTCCCCGCAATTCCCCAAGGGGGCATCTGCATTAGTTTTGGAGTCAACTGAGGTGGGTTTCACCGAAGCTTACATCTCTTCCTGGGAACTTTAGTCTTATAGGCTCCCACCTGCAGTAGAATCAATTTTAGGTAATTTCATCATTTTCAAAAAATAATAGATGATCATTGTGATTGTCTTAAACTTCTGTAACTCTTTCATAAAAGTAAATTTAAAAGTAAAAATTTATTTTATTTTATTTTATTTATTTTTTGAGACAGAGTCTCACTCTGTTGCCCAGGCTGGAGTGCAATGGCGCAATTTCAGCTCACTGCAACCTCCGCCTCCCAGGTTCAAGTGATTCTCCTACCTTAGCCTCTGGAGTAGCTGGGATTACAGGCGTGCACCACCACGCCCAGCTAATTTTTGTATTTTTAGTAAAAACGGGGTTTCACCATGTTGCCCAGGCTGGTCTCAAACTCCTGACCTCAGGTGATTCACATGCCTCGGCCTCCCAAAGTGCTGAAATTACAGGTGTGAGCCACCACACCCAACCTAAATTTTTTAAAATTAAAAGTTTTAGAGGAACTGGTTTGTCAGACACTTTTTGTAAAGTATATGACAGCCATGTATGTAAAGAGCTCAACTTAGACTGTAGGTCAGCCAGAACTAAGAATACCTCAGTCCTCCATCCCTAAATGTTTGGGCATTTTCCTATTCAGAAGTTCTACTGCCTGCCCTTCCTCCTTTCTTCTCTTTTCTTTCTTTTCTTCTTTTTTCTTTTCTTTTCTTTCCCTCCCTCCTTCCTCCCCCCTCCCTCCCTTCCTCCCTTTCTTCCTTTCTTCTTTCCTTCTTTCCTTCTTTTTGCCAATCAAGAAAAATGGCCAGAGGTGCAGATTGAACCGTGGCCACGCTGTGAGGAAAGGCCTCCGTCCTGTGAGCACCACCCTCCCCTCACTGGCCTCGGGAATCCCAGGCCCCCCACTCACATCTGGGGGAGGAGTCGCAGGGCTTCTGCAGGTGCTCTCTCTCCTCCAGTCAGTCAGCAAACCGAGGGGACTGTGGAGGACAAGCCACTGTGCCTCCAGGAGATGAGAGCTGCTGATTTTTCTTTCCTTTCCCTGAGGAAACGATACCTGTATAAGTCTCACTGCTGGGAGACTCCACAAAGTAATCATCTTTCTGGTGAGTTGATCAAAGAGCTCTCAAAACATCTTTCAACCAGGTCCCCAAGAAACAGCTGATGGCGTCGCCTGAACTTCTCCATATTCATAGCAACACTTTCCTGACATTTCTTGGATTGACCTTGATTTCTTATCTTCATTTCTAATCTCCTCTATTTTTCTATCCACCTTCTTTCCAAGACCTTCCATTCCCAGTAATGACACCTAATAGCTATATAGGGATTTTGTATCATGATTATATTCTTACTTTATCCTTACAACGATACTTTAATGTGAGCCACCCACATACTATCCCTGTGTAAAAACTAAGAAAATTGAGACCCCTGGAAAGAACAGACTTACCCAAAGTAAAGCTTGCCCAAATGTATAGCAAAGCTAGAATGAAAATCTCAGTCAGCCTAAACTCAGGGCTTCTTTTGTCGTCTAGTGGCTGAGGGAGTTATGAATGTGGGTCACAGGTGACCGCCGCATTTGAAGAAGAGTCTGTAAGTGAATCGACTTGCGGAACATCCTTGAAGCCGACAGTGAGCCCGTCTCTGCTGCCCTCTGGTGGCCAGGCAGATCCATGACTCCCCTCTCCTGTTCCTCCTGCCCTCGCCGGATGCTTGTTTTTCCCTCTCCTCAGTTCTAGCAGCTTATGCCTTGTTTTCCCGCTTCTCCTGGAGGTGGACTCTAGTCAGAATGGCAGAGATTGTGACTCCTTTTTTTCTCTCCCACACACCAACATCTTCCTGCACAAAATGGCCTCCCATAATATGTAGCATAATTTAGGACACAGTTCTCAGCACAGGCAGACCTCTGAGAAAGTGTATGCAGATGATTTGTGAGAACACACACACGCGAGTGTAAACGGAGCTTCTTTACGCGGTGAGTTGGCGCTGATGTGACTGACCATAAAAAATTCAAATAATTCCAGCATTTGGTACCATAGAGATGATACTACAGAATGCATGCAATGAGCGGCATCTTTTCACACATTCAGGTGTATAAAGTAAATTTCTATATTTTCCTATTACGGATTTTAATTTGTATGCCAAGCATTATTATGTCTTCTGACAGAGGAGTTCATCTGGTAATTTCCAGATAAATTCAGTGGCTTTCACACAATTAATTTAATAGCAGCCTCTTCTTCACCCGCCGTGTGATTTCTAAGTTCTGAGGTGGGAGGTGGTGCAGGGCTGGTGTAGAAGTCTCTCCTCACATTTGCATCATCAGCTCCCACAATATGTCACTATCCCATCGTGTTTCCTGGTCGTCACTGTCCTTCCCACAGTGGTGACGATCACTGTTATGTCCTTGATGCCACTCTCCTCTTGCTGGAACATTCCATCCCAGCATTTTAGGCAGCAAACTTTCATCCCACTGTTGGAGCCTTCCAGAGTCTGCCACTTCTTGCCTTGGAGAACTTTTCCTTTGCTGCCACTCTGAGAGGGACATCTGTGGGCATCGCTACCATTCTGGGAACCGGAGGTGAAGTGGGGTTCATTCCCCTCTACTCCAATTGAGAGAGAACCAGGGTAAAGAGACCCTCCTATCCTCGTCCATGTTTAATTGTTTCTCTTCTCTCCAAATCTCTCATCCTCTACAGTGAGGGGAGGGTCTTTGTCTAGACTGAAGGATGGAGGGGGAAACCCTTACATTAAGAATCGTAACCGTAAGTCAGGGGACCCAATTATGGGCTGCTCATAACGGGAGGGAAAGAAACTTAAGGAAAAAATCGGCTCAAACCTTGTAACATCATAATGCTGCATATGCTTTTATTATTACATTGACATGAAAATCTGCAATTAAATTAAAAATTGTTCTGGAGAACTCTTGAAATCCTGAGACTATATCTGAGACCCCCTCTAGCTCAAGGAACACAGACTTAAGGGGAACGTAAAGGAAAATCTGGCAGAAACAAAAACACACACAAAATATGCCTATCATTATACTCTTCATGCCCAAATATTATGCTGAGAAGGTTATTACATTTCTTTGGTAAACATCTGAGAGTAATTAAACCTTTTATTACTCAGCAAAGGGAGATAAAGTACCTGAGTAAAAAGAGCAATAAAGTAGCCCACAAGGGACCTTGGCCCAGAGCTCTGATCCTGGAGAGGGCAGTTCCTTTCTCTGGGTCTCTGTTTTCTCATCAGTGGAATGAGGGATGGCACGTTTGATATTCAGTTTTGCTTCCAACTCCAGCCCGATGAGTGCCATGCTCTGGTGGAGACTTGGCACTAGTTGGGAATCTTTGATGTGTGGCAAGGTGGAGGGAAGGGTGGATGGCACCCGCTGATGTGTGGGACGGTGGGGTCTGTGTGAGGACCTAACTGGGGGGTTGCAGATGAGGCCTCCATGAAGGCCTTGGCTTTCTGGGGAAGGTGAGAATTGCCAGTGTCATGATTTTGTGTGCACGTCTGCAGAATTCACAACTGAACCCAGCCAAAGTCCACTTGTCCCCGGAGTTTCACTGTTGAAAGGATTATAGCTGTTAGGAGGTGAATGTGCTATTCTGATTTTCGGAATGCAATCTCATTTTCACAGGGCCTCCGGGATTTGGCTCTGCCTTCAACTGGGGTGAGACGGCTTAAATCCTCCTTCACCCAAAGTCCTGGAGGAGGCCTCCACACTCTCTGGCTCTCCCACACTCTCTGGCTCTCTGGTGTGTCTTTGATCAGCACACCCCAGGGCTCTGACCTGTTTCTGACCACCTGCTATGTGGATGAAGATACATCTGGGGCCAAGTGAGAAGACCCAGTAGCACCAGGTTTCGCCCCAAAGGAGAGAGGGAGACACGTGAGTGGTTTGGATTCCCTGGTGAAGGATGGCCACGGGAAGCTGGGGACATTGTCTCAGATTACAGAGTAGGACATACGGACGGAATCAATGTCCTTTAGGGAAATGCTGCCACCTGTTACACTGCCTCCCACTTATATTTATATCCCACTGTGCAGTCTTCAAAGTGCGATCGTAGCCCATTTGACCCTCACAGTGTTCTCGTGAAGCAGGCTGAGTGAGGAAGAAGCACGAAATTATAAACAAGAAAACCAGGATCACATTTTCATTTGTCATGGATGATGTGGGGCATGTGTCCCTGAGCCTTAACGTCTTCTTCTGTCACATGGTCATGACACAGCTTGGAAAACGTTAGGATGATTGTCTCCACCACACAGCAGAGAAAATACAGGCTCAAGAAAGTAAAGAAAGATGTCCAAGGTCACACACACACACACACACAAAAACCCAATTCACTTTGTCTCCTAGAAATCTTATTTTAGCTTTCTCTATAAAAATGTATTAACATATGATAAACTATAGCTGTTTTTAATGTCTACATAGATACATAAGCTTTCGACTTCGTGAACTAAGTTAATTTATTCTTACCAGTCAGTTACTATGGCTGCTTGGCATTTTGAGGAGCAACATTTGAGGCTTTTACTGAAAAAAGTTCTAATGACCCATGATACGTAGTAATTTGCAATTTTCTTTGATATGAGTTTTAGCAGTGCAGGATAGGCCTTGAAATTCAGAATTGTTCATCATCTAATGCCTAAACATAAGCTACCACTTATTATTACAATTTAACACTTATACTTTATCCAGAAAATTAAATTAAATTAAACATGGGTTTTTGAGAATTCGATGATACATTTGCATATTAGATCATATATCTTGACAACACCAAAATTTACTATATTTAATAGGAACAACAGTTTCAGAAGATTCTTGCATTACATCCAAATAGTAAAACGGAGGGGTCAAAAGCTTATCTTTTTAAAAGGTTTTTACTTAAAGATGGCAATTTAAGTCTAGTTATCTATTTTCAAAAAATGTGCCAAAGCTTTTCAGCATCCTGACAGCAAACCCTGTGGCAGGGCATTTCCTCGGCACCACCGGCCTTCTGGGCTGGATGACTCTTTGTTGTGGGGGCTGCCACGTGCCTCATAGAATGTTTAGCAACACCCCTGGTTTCTACTCAATATATGTCCCCTCCCCCAGTCGTGACAACTGAAAATGTTCCCAGACATTGCCAAATGTCCTCTAAGGGCAAAACAGCCTCTTTCCCCATTAAGAACCCTGGTCCAAGGTGGTTATCCTCCCTGATATATTCTCTCACAATCTATCTGAGCACTGGAGATGGATTCTCCCAACATTCTTCGAAAGCTTCATTGATTTGAGCAATTTTTTTGAGAGTTCACTTGTAGATTTTCCCTCCCACCGCTTTGACATGAAAGACCTACAGGAACACAAGCCTCTGAAGTGGTCTGTAGCAAGTGTGAGTTCATTTTAGTTCACACGGCTGAGAAATCATGCTTGGTATGGATGTTGTGGGGCTTTCTTTACTCTTACTTGGTGGAAAAAAATGTTCCTGCTTTTCACAAAAGGAGTCAGGGAGGCATCAGCAACACCCTTCAGTCTAAGGGGAGGTGACTAGTAAGTTTCAGGTGGCAAGGTGCTCATGGTCTGCACTGTCTTCTAACACCCAACCCCATTTTCACATAAATATCATACTGCCCTTTTCGATCTAGGTATTGTGAATGGGCTCATATAAGTTTCCTTAAAGATATCTTATATGAAAGTACATATTTTTTATAAAGCAAATGGGCAATATTTGTGTAACAACAATCTCCTGACTCATTTGATTGTTAAATCTCCATTTCAGAATGTTGATTTTTACCCCTGTCCCATAAAATCTTACTAGCAGTAGTTTCTTGGAAAGGGGGAAACTGTAATTGACTTGACATTGCTCCTGAGCTGGTTTCTCTACTTTGTGTGAAGCAAGTTTTCTTTCAATAAAATACTTGACACATCACATATAATAAGTCTTAGACTTCTTTCACTCTGAAGTTTGTATTTTTCAATGGTAAAACTAGCCTTCTATCCTTGTCCTGGTAAGTTTTAAAGTTTTTAGCTGTGTGAAGTATTTTTGTTCAGCTGGGACAGTGGGGTTGCTGGGTTTGCCAGTTTCTGCCAGTTGGGCTTTTTGTTTTTTTAATTCATTCATGTTTTTAAGTCTATTCTAAAAGGCCACTTACAGATATTTTCCCGACTATCTTTCTACTACTCTTTCTTTCACTTTCCACGGCATCTCTGTGTCCCGGGTTCTCTGAGCGCTAGCACTGAATGTTGGCTTTCTGGCTGCAGTGTGGAGACGCAGAGCCTTCCTGCCCTTTCCTCCATGTGTAGAAAACAGTGGTAAAGAAAGGCTTTGCAGGAGGAGTTGGGAGGAGGACAGGAAAAAATATTTGAATCTTGCTCTATAAGTTTTGCAAGCTCACAACAGATGAACCTAAGGAGTTTTGTTTGCTTTGGTTTGGTTTGGGGTTTTTTTAATATTATTGTTCCTTTACCTCAAGTGTTTTTTCATTTCAGTCACAAGACTTCCTTACACCTAAAAAATTGCTTAAAATATTGTCTCATGAAATTAGGGTTGTTGAGGCAGGAATAATTTCATAAAGTTCTATTGGAAGGCAAATGTCAGGATTGATGTAGGAAGACACACCAACGAAGTTGAGGGTGGTCCAAAGTCTTACAAGTTGGAAGGCTTTTGTAAGGAAGTTCAGGCAGAAAGAAAGGGGCTCTTCATATTGGAGTTGTCTTTTTTCACTGGAGGGTACAATACAGAGGTTACAATCATTGGACACAGATGACAATATATAGACTAAAATATTTCATGCACAAAACAATCAGTAAAACTTTATGATTCAGAAACAAATCCATATCCTTTTCGATGTCAGGAGGTTACATATTAATCACTACATCAAATTAGCTCAGAAGCTACATTGAAGCCGAACTACATCAATGTATGGGTGTATGAGCAGATCGGGTTATAGGTTACAGAGGTATTCTTCAATCAGACGTTATCTTATGTGTAGGAAAAGGCAAGGACTATTATTCCTTATCTTTTAAGGAGTAGAGTGACTCAGGCAAGAGAGATGGGAGGCCGTGTGCTCAATCTTGTTTTGTCTTTGAAGCATCTTTCTGGAGAACTGCAGGTCATCACAGCAGGGGCTTTGTGAAAGTATGCTAGCAAGCCGAAATGAGCAAGCAAGGCTTCTTACATTTGCTACATTGTCTCACAATATAACACGTTAGGTAAAGGGTTGGATGTGATCAGTAATTGCAGAGAAATGGAGCCAAGCCCATTTCACTGACTGTGCAGGGGTTGATGTGGATTCTCTGCTAAGACTGCATAACCAATGGAAGCCATGGAGTGTGCCGGGTGTGTCACAGCCTCACTTAGGCACAGCGTTTCCTTGTCTTTGTTCCAGGGAGGATGGTGGATTTTCCAGGCTACAATCTGTCTGGTGCAGTCGCCTCCTTCCTATTCATCCTGCTGACAATGAAGCAGTCAGGTAGGATTCCCTTCTCCCTTTACTGTATAGTCTAATGTCCCAGTGAGCTAGTCTGGGTCCAAAGGTCGAGAACAACATCTAAGAGTGTAAGTCTGGGGCCAAGCCACCTGTATCCAAAAAGGAACTCCTCACTTTTGAGGAGCTCCTCCACTCCCAGGAGCTCCTCCACTCCTAGCTGAGTCACCTTTGGAAAGTTACTAGAGCACCTCATACCTTAGTTCTTTCATCTTTTTAATGAGAATAACAGCAGTAACTACATCTCAGAGGCCAGCACAGGCTTTAGGATTAAATGAGACATTAAAAGCACTTGAATCAGTGGTTGCACCACGTTAAATTATTAATTCACTCTAGTACTTTGGGGTCAAGAAATGCAGCTGCTTCTTATCATAAATTAAGCTGCAATTAAAAAAAATACTTGGAAATAAGAAATTAGAAGAAAGGGACTTTGGAAATCTCACTAGCTGAATTTTGACGTCAAAATGTTGCACCTTGAAAAATAATTATTTAAAAATTCAGTGTCAAAAAAAAAAATCAGTGTCAGAAGGAGATGTCAGAGCCCTAAGGAAAATGCAGCATGGCGAAGTGGGAAAAAACACGACACAGAGCATCAGAGGGCGCAGGCTCTGCCTCGGCACCGCAGAGCTGGTGTGTCTGCCTCGGTGCCGCAGAGCTGGTGTGTCTGCCTTGGCCCTGCAGAGCTGGTGTGATGTGATGAAGCTGCTGGCTTCTCTGTGCTTGTGCTGCAGCTCCCTACCCTGTAACAGTCAATCTGATGGAATGTCTTCAGTTCTAGCTTCATATTTAGACTTCATCAATGAAGAATACAAGCAGATCTCCACTTAGGCTCTTTAGCCACCTTTTGAGCAGCATCTATTTGATACCCAGCAGCAGCTAAGTAGGGTGAGGTTCTTCCTAGCAGGATTGGATCTGCACAGAGAAAGAGCAAATGGCCCCGGAGCATTTAGAATGAGAAAGAACATATCATACATGACATAAAATGATCAAACATAATAACATACCTAACTGTTAAACATCTCTTCAATTTGCAGATAACAAGGAAGAGATCAGACATGTCTTAGAATTTGTTTGGAAGACCCAAAAATCTCTAGACAAACCAGTGTCATTAATCCAGCACAAAATGTCCTTGTGAAAACTGCATTGTACATAGTCCCAGTAATTGGCCTCCTGCCAACTCCAGACGGGAAAAAAACAAACAAAAAAACAAAAAAACAAAAAAAACAGTTTTTATATCTAAGAGAAGAGGAATCCTGAAAGGCTAAAAAAGCTAATAAATGGATTTATTATCTAAACTTCAGGAAAATAAAATGTTAATAACAAGAATAAGGTTTCCAATTTAAAAAGTCAATTTACATGAGAATAAATGACTCAAGGAATAAATAATTTACTTGAGAATAAAAACAACCCAGGTATGCTGGTATTAATATCTTGAAGATGAAGAAATTAGGACTTCAAATCTCAAAATCTTACCAAGAGTAATAGATTTGCCACCGAATCACATAGCTGGTAGGTGACAGACAGCAACCTCACCCACATTTTTGAACTGCATTTGTTTTCAGTACACAAAATTGACTCTGTAACAAACAGATGTGCAAATCATCATGCTGGATTTCTCTAAAACATTAAACATATATCTCTCCCTCTTCTAGTTGCCTCCATTTTGACAGGCTGGACACCCCAAAGCATGCATATGATTTTCTGATTGGCATTTCCTCGTTCCTCTTTTTCACTTATTTTATAGAAGACTTTAGAGTCATTGGCCCTGCTCATCCTATCCTGGCCGGGGTTGGGGAAGATGCCCTGTTAACCTGCCAGCTACTCCCCAAGAGGACCACAATGCACGTGGAGGTGAGGTGGTACCGCTCAGAGCCCAGCACACCTGTGTTTGTGCACAGGGATGGAGTGGAGGTGACTGAGATGCAGATGGAGGAGTACAGAGGCTGGGTAGAGTGGATAGAGAATGGCATTGCAAAGGGAAATGTGGCACTGAAGATACACAACATCCAGCCCTCCGACAATGGACAATACTGGTGCCATTTCCAGGATGGGAACTACTGTGGAGAAACAAGCTTGCTGCTCAAAGTAGCAGGTGAATATCTGGGGAAAGACACAGGGTCTCAAGAGGCAGAGATATATTAATTTGTGGTAAGCTTTGTGACAGTTGAGGAAATCCTTTTGAATCATCAAGGTAATTCCTAATGCTTAGTCCTCTACCCTGATTGATTTAAAAATAAGTGGTTCTGGAGTCTTCAAGCTTAGTGTTAAAATATTTTCCCAAATTTAATTTGCACAGTTTTGACTGTTCTTGAGGATTATTTGGAATCCATGACATGCAGTCTTTAGCAATTTTGCTGAGACACACATTTGTGCTACCTAAGGCTGGTGCGCAAGAGCAAACCAATTGCTGCATGAATGAGCCCAGCTGACGTCCGGCATCTGTATCTCAGGGCATTGGTTTTTCTCTACCCAATCCCATCTATGCAGAAACTGAGACGTGAAAATGTTCTTTCCTTGTGAAATGCCCTCAGTTAGAAAGCTATCAACAAGACTGAAAAGGCTAAGAATGTCGTGCTTTGGAGATTGTTATATACTAGTGTTCAATGAATTGGGGACTCACAGATGCTTTTGGACACACCCTCTGTGAATGGGAAGGTTCTTCATATTGCTGTTGTATTAGCTAAGCAGGAAGGAGTAGGGAAGAAGGGGACAACTGAAGAATGGATCTGTCTTATGAAAAGTAAACTATCATATGATTCCCTGACAGGGCTAACTTCTCCATGCTCTAAAGAGAAAATCAAGTAAATCCAATTACTAAGGCAAATGGGGAAAATAGTTCTCTGGAGATGTTAACGTCTCCAGCTGATACTGCTTCCTTCTTTACTTCCCTGGGAGGCTGTTTCCTAATACCTTTTTTTTTCTTAACATCCATTACTGTTACTGTGTTCAAGGTGATTCAAAATGGATGGAGGAATACATATATTTCTGACATGGGGGGACAGGGAACGTACTGATGTATTTCAATATCAGGAACATTTACAAATAAGTCACACATTTTCTAAGGGTCCAAGGGAAGGGAGTGGATCTCTCTTTTACCAGCAAGTGATTAAGACAGAATTCCCATTTATGGAAAATATAGTCCCCTTAGTTTGGGTGTGGGAGTTTCACGTTAAATAGAGAAAAAAAATCCATGATTTCATAAACTGTTGTAAACTAGGATTTCTCAAAACCATCTTACCCATTGAATAGAATATTTAGCTACAAATAACGCCTCGTGGAGATTCGCATTTCACATGCTCCCGTTTATCCACTTGCTTCCGAAGATCACAGCCACCAGCAAAAGATGCAGGAAGAACAGGCCCCTGGGGAGTGATTTCTGACTTTGTGTTAAATCTTCAATCAAATTGGAGTTCAAGACATCATCTAAAATACCAGACAATGTGCCCAATACAGATAATTTTAAGATGAAAAAGGCAGAGTTCATGGCACAGAGGAATTAATGAATAAATTACAGCTCATCTCTGTTTGCAGTGCTAGAAGCGTTGCAAAATGTCATGATGTCCCCCTTCTCCGATTCCCCTTTCTGGATCTGGAGAAAAGTACTGGTCAGATGCTAAAATGTAAAGACGCAGACTGGGGAACAAATAAAGTGTATCTGAACTCACATTTGAATGGGGAGACTGAGGTCGACTTTCTGCTCCTCAGACTCCTGAACTCCGGCCACCTCCCTGTGAGCAACGTCACTGGGATCTCAGCCTCTGTGATTTCTGCCTCTGTGGGCTCTGGGTGTCAGAGCTGTGGCTTCCCTCTGCAGGTCTGGGGTCTGCCCCTAGCATCCACATGGAGGGACCTGGGGAGAGTGGAGTCCAGCTTGTGTGCACTGCAAGGGGCTGGTTCCCAGAGCCCCAGGTGTATTGGGAAGACATCCGGGGAGAGAAGCTGCTGGCCGTGTCTGAGCATCGCATCCAAGATGAAGATGGCCTGTTCTATGCGGAAGCCACCCTGGTGGTCAGGAACGCCTCTGCAGAGTCTGTGTCCTGCTTGGTCCACAACCCCGTCCTCACTGAGGAGAAGGGGTCGGTCATCAGCCTCCCAGGTCAGTGCTCTGCCTCTAGGACCCACACGCTCAGATCAGCAGGAGAGGTCCCAGGGACTGCACCATAGCACCTCGTATTTTTATCAAGAGACATTGTCTATCATATAGCAATATGTATTGAAAGCCATAAAACATTTATGACTGGAAATATACGCACTACATTTTACTTGAATAGCTGTTATGGCGCCTGCGTTATTTTTGAGTTCTACCTTTCCTTCTTCTGCATTGATTGTTTTTACTCACAAGTATTCATTGCATTGTAAAGAAAATAAAGCTATATTTCTTCAACTGAAATGTTTTCCTATGCTGTCTTGTGCTGATTACTTCTAGAAATCTATCATATGAAGATAATCAGAGATGTAGACAACTATTTGCATAATAGAATATTAATTATGGCCTTATTTATAAATAGCAGCAAAAACAACCAACCCCCCAATACAACAGTACAGTGTGGAATCTTGTCTTACTATACATTATAGCATTAATAAAAAGATATTTTTAAATAATTTTAATGGTTGAAAAAAATCCTCATGATGCACTATTCAATGATAAACATGA
Organism: Homo sapiens; assembly: GCF_000001405.40. Classification (NCBI taxonomy): domain Eukaryota; kingdom Metazoa; phylum Chordata; class Mammalia; order Primates; family Hominidae; genus Homo; species Homo sapiens. Next base: position 3,707,392 of record NT_167246.2, on the reverse strand, counting down.
CATCTACCTATAAATTGACATTTCCAATCACATAAAAGTTACTGGCCTTAAATAACTTATAACTGCACTAAAACTTTCAGGATACCCTCCACATTTGGATATAAGTATACAGTTATTCATATAAATGGATAGATTAAAAAAACTTTAAAGTTAATGTTACATTTTAATTTTAAATGAAGCTGATTGTATATTACATATAATTCGTCTCTCTACTTTGTAATTTAGGTGATACTGTTTATGTCCATATAATTTTGTACTTTCTGTGTATCTATAAAAGGAACATATGTTATTTTCATGCTGATAGCTAAGTATTTATGCTGTAAATATCAGAAGAAACCAACAGAATCATGGGGAGATAGAAGTGACAGCATTTTTGTTGTGCAGAGAAAAGGAAAAAAAGCTGTATCATTGGGTAATCTGTGGGAAAGAATCAGTATTTTTCTGCATTTCATTTTTTTAATGAATTGAGCTTCCCTATATAATGTATAAATTGCTTTCTTTTTTAAAAAATAGTTTCTCTCCTTTCCCTTACACCAAATTCCTTAATATGTTATTCTTGTTCTTTTTCCAGAGAAACTCCAGACTGAGCTGGGTAAGTACGAGGTGCTGGCACACACCTGTGGAGGGAGCCTCTGCCCTCCCCAGCAGAGGGAGGGGAGCTACCACGAGACCATGTGACCCAGAGGAAAAACTGAGGCACGATTTTACCAGGTCCTATGTTCATTAAATACCAGAGGAGACCAGCAAAGTAATGGCCTCATTCAAGGAGGTTGCAGCTGTGTTACCTGACACTTTGGGGGCTCATGGAGATTCCAGTGAGCATCAGATGGTCACCTATAGGAAGCATGGCATCATCTCTGTTCTATGTGTTGAGGGGAAAGGGAGCTGCCTCAGAATGTGTGGGGGATGACAGCAGACAGCTGGCCGGGGCCTGGAGGCCCTTTGAAAACATTTCAAGTGTGAACAAGGGCAGCATCATTATGACAACCTGGGTTGCACCCAGCACCTCCCTGCTCAACTCTGCTATGGGGTCCTGCACCTGCTCCTCACCCCAGTACACCCCTAAGCTAATCACTATTGGGAGGGAGCTGTTACTTTCTGAGTGCAACCTGGGATACTGTGAGTGTAGCAATTTTTTTTTTTTTTTTTTTTTTTTTTTTTTTTTTTTTTTTTTTTTTTTTTTGAGACGGAGTCTTGCTCTGTCGCCCAGGCTGGAGTGCAGTGGCGCGATCTTGGCTCACTGCAAGCTCCGCCTCCCAGGTTCAGGCCATTCTCCTGCCTCAGCCTCCCAAGTAGCTGGGACTACAGGCAACCGCCACCACGCCCGGCTAATTTTTTGTATTTTTAGTAGAGACGAGATTTCACCGTGTTAGCCAGGATGGTCTCGATCTCCTGATCTCGTGATCCCCCCACCTCAGCCTCCCAAAGTGCTGGGATTACAGGCGTGAGCCACCACGCCGGGCATTTTTTTTTTTTTGAGACGGAGTCTCGCTCTGTTGCCCAAGCTGGAGTGCAATGGCGCCATCTTGGCTCACTGCAACCTCCATCTCCTGGATTCAAGCTATTCTCCTGCCTCAGCCTCCTGAGTAACTGGGACTACAGGCACACACCACCACACCCAGCTAATTTTTTTTTTTTTTTTTTTTTTTGTATTTTTAGTAGAGACAGGGTTTCACCATGTTGGCCAGGATGGTCTCGATCTCCTGACCTCATGATCCGCCGGCCTTGGCCTCCCAAAGGGCAGGATTACAGGCATGAGCCACTGCACCCAGCCTAATTTTTGTTTTTTAAATCTCGGAGTTGGACTGAGGGTATTATTTTGCTGCACCTGAGATAAGTGGTTTAAAACATAACCAGCCGATGTCTGAGCCCCTTTGAGTTTCCCCTTTACCTCCTTACTAGCTCCCTCCTTTTTATGGCCTCTTCTCCCAGCCCAAGGCAACCAGCCTGCCTCCCTGCCTAGGTGCATAGAACGTGGATCCCTTATGTGCTCTTTCCATCAATTCCTTGCTCTCCATCAAGTCACCTGCTCCAGGAATGTGTATCCATGTGTGTGCTTTAGGTGAGCTTAAGCACACCTTTCAGCCCACGAAAGAGTTTTTGAGGAAAATCAGGGTAACAAACACAACCCAATCTCTACCAGAGTCTACTATGGCACCTTCAACCCCATTAGGCCATAAACATAAAGGGAAGGGTCCCTGGAAGGCGCAAAGTAACTCCACAATCTGAGGAGAGACACACACCTGTGTATCTTACCCTTCTGAGATCAGGAAGTAAAGCCAGTGTTTGGGGCAGGTTGACACAAGTCTGTCTCTCAAGAAGGTTTTAGGGGAAGAGTCACTCCTCTGAGTTCTCTGAGACCCACTGGAGACCCAGCACACAAAATACGACCCCATGTCCAGTTGTTCCTAAGTCATGGTAACCTCCGGGGCCACAATTAACCAACACGGAAAGACGGAGCTTCCCTTTGCTTCCTGTCAGGTGGGAGAGGAGGGCTCTGGGCACGGAAGCTTTGCAGGTGAGCTCTAATGATGGGACACCCAGCTCTCTATGGAAGTCCTAAGACTGAAATCACTGCTTGTAGTCTTACAAATAATGTTTTTCATTTATAAAAATAATAGTTTTTAAAAATATTAATTGTATGCCAGGCACGATGCTGAATATGTTATGGGAATTATTTCATTTTTTCTTACAATAATTATAAAGTTTAATTGCTTTATCCTCATATTACAGCTAAGAAACAATCTTAGAGACATACATGGTTTGCCAAAAATCAGGAAGAAATGGTGATGTTTACCTTCTAATCTACATCTATCTAACTTAACAGTGCAAGTCCTTAATTACTTATGTGTGACTTTGTCAGCTCATTCATCTCTATTTTTCTCATCTTTAAAGTGAACAGGTTGAATTTAATCTCTAATGTAGTGTCCAGTTCTAAGAGATTAGATATAACTTAGCATATTTGAGAAATGAGATAGTGCATTAATTGAATATGCTGATTGAAAGAGGATTATGTGGTATGATGATGAGATTATCAGGTTTCAAGGAATCAGTGTATAATTCAGTGTACTTCACGCTCCAGAAGGGAATTAATTTTTCAGTGGATATTCAGAAGGCATTCAGAACATACAAACAATAACCAAAACAAAACAAAGCAATATATTTCAGCACAAAATTGTCTGGAAGGCTGTGTACAAAACCGTATAGAAAAAGGAGGTTAACTACTGCATGTTCACACTTATAAGGGGGAGCTGATTGGTGAGAACACATGGATGCATGGCAGGGAACAACACACACTGGACACCTGTTGGGGGATGGGGGAGGGAGAGCATCAGGAAGAACAGCTAATGGATGCTGGGCTTAACACCTGGGTGATGGGATGACCTGTGCAGTAAGCCACCATGGCACATGTTTACCTATGTAACAAACCTGCACATCCTGCACATGTACCCCGGAACTTAAAATTGAAAGAAAAAAAAAAAGTGGGTTAGGCATAGTGGCTCCCAAGGAGCTTGTATTCTAGTAGAACATCAATTATTAACAAACAGGGCTGCATGATTTTTTTAGCACTTTAAACTTTAGTTTTACTTGGATTCTGGACAAAAGGAGTTTTGTCTGTATCTGTAATGCATCAAATTAATTGAATCTCCATACTTACATTTTGCTTCCTTCAGTCTCCATTGAAGTCAATTTTAGCTCTTAATTACCTATGTCAGGCAGGGCAAGCCAGTTTAAGATCTAATATGTGCACAGGTCACACACGGACAGGGAATAAAATCCTCATATGGATAAAGGAGATGAGGAAACAGTCTGTTTTATTAAGTAATTTACCGTAAGCCATGTGGATGCAGAAACAGCCCCAAACTAATCCCTAGTCCATTTTTTCTGATTCTTGTCTTCAGACTTTAATAGATACATAGGAGAGGAAAATAATATTGTTTTAGGTAAAATTACAGGACAAAGCAAACAAAATGCTGGAAATAACTGGGAGTCAACTGTTACCTGGAATGGAAGGTAATAATCTGAAAATTCAAATTGTGTTGACAGGGACTTTCCTCTCTACAAAGGTAGCTGGCAGTTTTCGGCCAATGACATAATGGGATGTTAACGCCTTTGGCCAGTGACTCTATGCAGAGAACCAACAATTTTATGCTTGTGTTTCTATTATAAATGATCACACCTTATGCAAAACCATTCTTATCATTTAACAGAAAAGGACGACACTTAATTTAGAATAGAGAAAAAATGGCACGGGCAGGGCCTGATGAGAATGGAAAATGTAATATAGCTTGGGCCCAGGAAAGCCCTCAGAGAACATCTTTCCCCACTTTGCACAGTGGGAGAATTAGACCCCTTTTTTACATTCATCATTGTTTCACAATTTGTACTTTGCCGACTTCCCCAATTATTGATCTTAAAATGTTAATTTTAATTTTCAAAATTATTTGAGGACATTCAACTGGTGTGTGTCTATAACTCCACCTATGTGGAGCATTGGGGAAATAAAATATAGCGGCTGGACCAGACTTACAAGGTACTATAAAGTCCACCTAGAGGAAAGCTTCTTCAAATATCATTACCAAAAGTCCACATGAGACACGTTTTTAAACCCCTCCCTATTACCACGTCAGAGGGTGGGGATGGCTCCAACGCCTTCAAGTCTCACAGGTCTGTGCACCTCTGCTCACGCTGCAGGGTCTTCCAGGCACTTAATGCAAACTATTTTGTTCAACTCTGAAACATTATGATTTTGGTAGTTGTATAGCAAATTTACAGTTTAAGAAACTGAGGCATTAAGAAGTAGTTTAAGACAGATTAAGAAGTAGTTTAAAATCATACAGAATTGAAGTGTTAGAAGAAAAACTTTAGACAGACTAAATTTAGCAGAGTCTAACTGAGAAAAGGATGACTCATAAACAAGCCATCCCTCAGAATCAGAACGGTTTCAGAGAATTCAAAGCAGCAATTTGGTCAGACAGCATTTATGGACAGAAAATGGAAATGAGGTACAGAAAACAGAAGTGAGGTACAGAGACAGCTCTATTGGTTGCAGCCTGGCGTTTGCCGATTTGAACAGGGTTTCAACAGTTGGCTGCCTGCAACTAACAGAAGTGCAGCAGCTGCTACTCAGCTATTTATTACAAAAGTGTACTCCTAAGTTAGCCTTAGCTCCTAAGTTAGGCTTATTCATAAAATAATTTTGCAATTAAAACTCTCAGAATAAAATGAGCAATTTATAAATTTGGCCCCAGGATGCCTCTGTACCTGAGTGCTTATGTAACAAACCAACCTAAGTTAGGCTTTCAGTAGTTGACGTACTAAGTTAAATTGCAGTTTGTTACATAAGGAGTCAGGTACAGAGCATCTGGGGCCAAATTTATAAACTGTTCACTTTATTCTGGGTGTTTTTTGTTTGTTTGTTTTTAAAGTCTCGCTTTGTCACCCAGCCTGGAGTGCAGTGGCATGATCTCAGCTCACTGCAACCTCTGCCTCCCGGGTTCGAGCAATTCTTCCACCTCAGCCTCCTGAGTAGCTGGGATTACAGGCACCCACCATCATGCCCGACTAATTTTTGTATTTCTGTAGAGACGGGGTTTCACCATGTTGGCCAGGCTGGTCTTGAACTCCTGACCTCTGGTGATCCACCCGCTTCGGCCTCCCAAAGTGCTGGGATTATAGACTTGAGCCACCACACCCAGCCTATCTGGGAGTTTTAATTGCAAAATTATTTTATTATTGGTCTGTAAACTGAAAAAAATACAGGTAGAAGCAGGTAGGGATTCAATTACTGTTTTACTCAGACTGACACACATCATGGAACGATTCCTCCTTAAAGAAGAGCAACCTCTATTCTGAGTCCATGAAACCCCCACCTCACCTAAGGATGACCCTGAGCCTCACAGCAACCCTGGGATGCTCATGGTTTCTAAACTCCAATGGAGCTGTTCTTAGAGATGACATTATTGGTTCCATTTTGATTCTTTCACTGTGTTTTGTCCACTCTATTTAACAGCTTCTTTAAAAGTGAATGGACCTTCCCAGCCCATCCTCGTCAGAGTGGGAGAAGATATACAGCTAACCTGTTACCTGTCCCCCAAGGCGAATGCACAGAGCATGGAGGTGAGGTGGGACCGATCCCACCGTTACCCTGCTGTGCATGTGTATATGGATGGGGACCATGTGGCTGGAGAGCAGATGGCAGAGTACAGAGGGAGGACTGTGCTGGTGAGTGACGCCATTGACGAGGGCAGACTGACCCTGCAGATACTCAGTGCCAGACCTTCGGACGACGGGCAGTACCGCTGCCTTTTTGAAAAAGATGATGTCTACCAAGAGGCCAGTTTGGATCTGAAGGTGGTAGGTAAGAATTCTAGATAGATATTTTGTATTCAATACCTGCTCCTGCCACTTTAATATGCTAGTTCCTGGACAATTTCTCTGACATTTGAAATTTCCTTAATGCTTATTCATCATCAAATTTATATCAAATCCTCCAGTGTGTGAAACTGTCATAGTTACTTAAAATCCACAAACTCAAATGGATGAAATTTAATTATTTGGGCATATAACTTGTATCTTTTCCAGTATCTTCAAAAATTGACCATATCTTTAAGGAAATCTGAGTATCTTACTACATATTTTACAAAAGACTCATTGTTTCACAGTGTGTTATTAGAATTCTGAGAAATGCAATAAAATTCTAGAAACTGTAATCATCTGAAGACTAAACTGGATCCACTGTGTAAACCAAAATTATAAATATTGACAGTTTTGGCAGGGACAGGGGAGAAAAGATGAAATCACTCCCTGCAGCATCATTTCCCACTGTCCGTGTGTGTGAGAATTGAAACGTCCAAGGTTAGCAGATGCCATTGAGTACATATAGGCCCAAGTCTTGGATATGCTACGTGTTTCTCCCACGGATTTTGATTCTAAATTAATAAACACGTTTAGCCATGGGAGCGCATGTTGAGAAGTTTCATGAGCCTCGTATTTTCTGCCATTGGACGTAGATATTTATAAGGTTTCGATTTTTGAGAATATCCTCCTACTCCGTATGTTAATCCTGTCCATGTGACCCATGCCCTGGCCGAAGTTATTTTGTTCTCAGGGACAGAATAAATGTTGGATTTGAACATTTACCTTACCTCTTAATCATCCCAGAATGATTTAGGAATACAAAGAATAAAAATAAGCAAACAAACAAAATAAGAAAATGCTCCAGCCAGCCTCATCCCTAAGTGGAGTGCAATCCCCCTTAAGCTTTTCTCCCTTCCCCAAGCCCTCCACATCCCCTTCTTTCCTCCCAGTGAAATTGCTGCCCACTCATCCACTTGAAAGGACCCCAGGCTTTGGTTGCTTTCTCTGCCCCAGGTCTGGGTTCTTCCCCACTGATCACTGTGGAGGGGCAAGAAGATGGAGAAATGCAGCCGATGTGCTCTTCAGATGGGTGGTTCCCACAGCCCCACGTGCCATGGAGGGACATGGAAGGAAAGACGATACCATCATCTTCCCAGGCCCTGACTCAAGGCAGCCACGGGCTGTTCCACGTGCAGACATTGCTAAGGGTCACAAACATCTCCGCTGTGGACGTCACTTGTTCCATCAGCATCCCCTTTTTGGGCGAGGAGAAAATCGCAACTTTTTCTCTCTCAGGTTGGTGATTCCTTATGTTCCTTCAGGTTTGGAAAATAAATATGAAGACCAACTCAGACTTACTCATTGTATTGCTCTTCTTCCTTTGTGATTTTTATTTGCTGCTCTCTGACGAGGTCTCCTGCTATCCTCTGCAAAGCTGGTTTTCAGGACACCCAGGGATTCTACTCCTCTGAGTTTCTCTCTGACACCCTCAACTAGCGCCCTGCAATTATTTTTATCATTGGATACACACTAAATTCTCGTAATTGACCCTGTTTTCACTCTCTCTCTTTAAATTCTCTTCTTCTGATGTGAAAACAATTAAATTACAGAACTTTGTGTTTTCCCCCTCATGGAGGATTTTCTTCTGGATTAGAAACTGATTTTTATTAATACCATCTTCATGGTTGCGGCTTGAGTAATTTTATCCTTTCCTCCTCAAGTCATTCCAGTGATTGTGTGATATAGTTGGAAGAGAGAAGGGAAAACTTGTCTGTGCATGTGTACATTTCTGAGACGAGCAAACATGAAATACTTGCATTCTCTCCTCTGCATCTCCAGAGCAGGGAGGAGCAGGCCAACTGCTTCCTGGGAGGCCAAATTCTCTCCCTTCTCTCCAGCCTAGAAGCTGCTCAGATGAAAAGTACAATCTTAATATTGTCCCAGTTTCACAGTTTCAAGGGATTCTTGGGTTTCCATTTTAGAGTCCAGGATGACGTTTTTGTGGAAAACACTGCTTGTTTGGGGATTGCTTCTTGCTGTGGCTGTAGGCCTGCCCAGGAAGAGGAGCTGAAAAGAGGTAAGTCAGGGAAACAGAAACAGCGGAGCACACTGCAGTGGGAACCGTACTGCGTACTTCCCCGAGCCTCCCTTTTCACAAGTCACCTATGGGAGGCAGTCAGTGAATATCCAGTAACTAAGGAAACATGAGAAACAGGAAAGCCCAGGGCTTATCATGCAATCCAGGCTCAGTGATGCATGAGGTCAGTGTTTCCACTTGTAATAGAAGCAAAATGATTAAAAGATAATGATTTGATTTCCTGCTGCCCATTCCCCAGTGATCTGGTTAGGGAAGAAGAAGAAAAAAGTGAGTAGTACAGCCATCCTTGTTTTCAAGGCTGAGAGCTGAGGTTCACTGAGATTTGTTGGCGTGAACAATTTCCTATGATCTTTAAAAATGTGGTGACCTACTTGTTGGTGATTTCTGTGTTGCTGGTGACTTCTCATGTGTTAGGGAGGCTGTTTTGTGTGCTCTAGAAAGTGCTTCCACTTTAAATTTCTTATGTCCGTGAAACACTTGTCTTCCTGTTTGGCTGTTAATAGAATGAAATTATATTGATTAATTATCAGAATGGATTCTCTTTCTTTACAGTGAATGTGACATTGGCTTCAAACACAGCTCACCTGAGACTGATTTCTTCTGAACAAAACAAGCGTGTGATCCATGGACATTCAGGCAGCCAGATATCCCACAGAGATCTGACTATCTGCTCTATGGGCCAGAGGGAACTCCTGTCAGGGAGCTGGTACTGAGAGGTGGAGACTGGGAACAGGGCGCGATGGGTCCCGGAGGTTGCCAAGCACATGTTGCAAAGAAAGAGTCATCTCTGTGTCACCTGACAGTGAGTTTTAGGCAATGGATTGCAAAAGAAATGAGTTCTGGGCCATCCCCTCTCTTCCAAGCCCCATACCCTTGAAGGTGGCCCCTGAACAAGTCAGAATCCCCCTGACCGTGCCTCTGAATACCTCTCCTCTTATAACATGATTGGCAAGTGCCCTATCTACACCTTCCCCAAAACTTCCTTCTCTGGGACTCTGCACCCCGCTTCATTCTTTGGTTCCCTAATGTAGGTTCTCTGGACATTTTTTCTGTACCCACAAGAACATCTCCAACGTATCAGGAAAATAACAATCTGGGATTCTGGAAACCAGAATGATATTCTGAGTCCTGATCATTTCTCATTTCTCTAACTGCTTGAAGGGGGCTGCCATGATCATTGAAGTACTAACTCAAGGTGTTTTAATTCTACTCAGGAAAATCTGCTGGAGACTGATCTTTTCAGAGACCTATCCTGTTCCAGGTTCTCTGAGATCCGGCCTATCAATCACAATCTGACATCTGATAATCAAGGACCCTTAGAAAATCCCATGGGAAATACAATTTAGCCTACAGGAAGAAATGAAAGGAATAATCAAGGATTTGGTCAGTTTCTTTTTTTTTTCTTTTTCTTTTCTTTTTTTTTTTTTTTTTTTTTTTTCTGAGACAAAGTCTCACTCTGTTACCCAGGCTGGAGTGCAGTGGCATGATCTCAGCTGACTGCAACCTCTGCCTCCCGGGTTCAAGCAATTCTCTTGCCTCAGTCTCATGAGTAGCTGGGATTACAGGCATGTGCCACCATGCCCAGCCTATTTTTGTATTTTTAGTAGAGATGGGGTTTCACTTTGTTGGCCAGGCTGGTCTCAAACTTCTGGCCTCAAATGATCCACTCGCCTCGGCCTCCCAAAGTGCTGGAATTACAGGCATGAGCCACCACACCTGGCCTGATCAGTTTATTTAAGATGGTGACAATTAATTGTCCACATAGGTGGAACTGAGAAAATAAAAAATATATATATACAGTTAAAAAAAAGTGAAAGAAAATACAGCTGCATAAGGGGGAGAAAAATCTGATCACTAAAATATAATCTTGAAAATCTTATGAAGTGTTGTAAAATCCCTCCTCCAGACTTTTTGAGAAAGTTGATACAGGAAATTGAGTCAGGAAAAAAATTTTAGACTTTCCGATCCAAGCGAAAAATTATGTATCATCTATACGAACATGTCAATTTTATTGTTAGAGCAAAATAAAGTGCACAATTTAAAATTAATAATTATAAAATAAACAAATATAAGCAGTACATGTAACACAGTAAAAATATTTTAAAGTTATAATGAGTTCAAGAAGATAAACTATATGTGGAAGACAGAAGAATGTCAACAAGACTTTTGGAAAGAATGTTATGAAGTGAGAAGACGAGGACCTGCTAGTGACGCTCTGCTGCTCTCCAGGATGGCAGACGTCAGAGGCATCGCGGTCCCATGCGGATCACTCATGAACAGCACTCTGAACTTGCTCTTCTGGGCCATCATTTTTTTTTCTATTTTTAAACTCATAAATTTAAACACATAAATGTTAGAAACTACACATTATTCTTCCACAAATGTTTACACATTAATTTTAATAAACATTTTTTTCAATTGTGGTAAAATACATAACATAAAATAAAACCCTTTAACCATTTTAAAGTGTACAGTTCTGTGGTATTGTATATGTGACATTGCTGTGTGACCATCATCATCACTTTCTAGTTCCAGAATATTTTCATCGCCCTAAACGAAACTTCATACCCATTAAGCAGTTACTACCCATTTTTCACTCCCTACTCCCCAGGTAATCTACTTTCTGTCCCTATGAACTTTTCTATTCTGAATATTTTATATAAATGGAACCATAAACTATCTGTGTATGTGTATGTGTATGTGGCTTCTTTCCCTTAGCCTAATATTTTTAGAGTTCTTCCATGTCATAGCATGTATCAGTGCTTCTTTCCTTTTTTAAAAAAAAATTAACAGACATTATTTTTAAGAACAGTTTTAGATTTATAACAAAATAAAATGGAAAATCCAGAGAGCTCCTAGATCCCTCCTCTCTCCCCCCTATTTCTGCTATTATTAACATCTTACATTAGTGTGGCACATTTGTTACAACCCATGAAAGAATAGTGACACATTATTTTCAACTAAAGTCCACAGTTTTACATTAGGTTCACCTTTTGTTTATATAATCTCTGGAGTTTAACAAATGATTTTTACATTTACATTGATCTATCTTTATATTTATGAAGACTTAAATTTATTAGTAAATATACTAGGTTTACCTGAAAATATTTTAACACTATTTTGATTTAATGTAATTAAAAATAATTTATTGCACAACATCTAAAGGTTAACTATTATTTTTCACTTACTTTTGAGTCTTCCTTCCTAGTGAATGTAGCTCTTTGCTTGTTAGTCTGTGCTTGTGAAGGCCCTATGAATACATATATTCACTTTCCAGGGAGAAAGTCTCAAGAAAATTGGTTTTTATCAGTCACATTCTCTCACTGTATATTAGAAAACATACTTTCCTATAGCTTCCCAAATTGGTGATTAATGTACTTTCTGAGTTCCAGTTCCAGTTAGAAAAGCCACAGGAAGGAGAGGGGTTGGTGGCGTTGAGGATGATGCCCCAGTCACTGGAAGTCCCTGTGGCTGTTGGGTGGGTAATCAGGTTGGTGCCTCAGGATACAGTTCCCTCCCCTCCTGGTGTGTAGACAGCTGGGTGTAGTCATTAAAGTGGGGCCACTCTCAGAATAAATGTGCAGATTGGCTGGATCTCAGTTTCAGGGAGAGGACAGGAGGAAGCCACAGAGACTGAATTGTTAACTCCCTGACATTTTCCTCCTTTGTCAGTACAATTTAACTTCCATGAGGACAGTGATTTTTTTCCTTCTTGTCTAGCCCCACAACCTGTAAAAATGACATACATTGATTATCAATAAACATTTGTAAAATGCATGAATTGTCTCATAAAGTGATATTTATTGAATATCTTACCTGTTGAATGTACTATGCTAAGGCCTAGAGATACAATCCTTAATAAGACATAATTCCTGCCCTCAGGTCTTTCTTTTTTGCAGTGGAGTCACTCTGTTTTTGGAATGTCTTATTATACCTTCATAAACTTTACTAAAAATGGGAGTGCCAGAGTAGTCCAGCAATAAAGAATTAATTGATGTAGCCAGGTGGTGAATTCACTTTTCCAGAAAGGATAGGCTACTTGGAGACCCTGCACTACTTATTGATTTACTCAAAGCTACAAATGAAAATAAGATGGACACTGTTATCCCTGACAGGTCTAAAGCTCTGAGTCCAATCAACCATCCACCTTCACGTTTTCTACCATGTCCACCTGCAGCCACTGCTCCCCAATCTCTAAGCTTAGAAGGACAAACACCCATTAAAATGAGTAAAGAAGTGACAAGTTTAAGAATCTTGTTGTAGAAAAAATATGAATTTAGACTCTGAAAAAGAGATAGTAAAAACTCCTCTTGAACCTCATGCTGAATGTCCTAAGTGTATAAAAAAGTAAAATGTCTAAGGCTGAACCTGTTACATTTCGTGTTCTATACCACAGTTCCACCCCATTTGTTCCTGTTTTGTTGTTACCCCCATGTTTAGGGCTCACATGTCCAGAAATCCCTTCTCATCCACCATGTCCATTTGATTATAACTATTAATATTTTATCACCATTTATTTACCTCTGTCCTGCCTTGATTATTTCTTGATGAAATGTGTAAGCCTCCCTTTAGGGTCAGTGAAATTAGGACTAGGCTCTGGCTTGATTCTTCCTGGCTTCGAATACTGTCTTTGCCACTTAGTGTGTGACGTGAAATTTCACCAAGGAGATACATCTACAGGACAGATTGTTAGAGGCACTTGTGGTTTACAGATCTGCAAATACTGTAGAAGAAAAACTAAGGGGATCTCTTCCATCATCAGGAAGAAAGGGTTCATTTAACAGAAGAAGCTCGGCCAGGTGCGGTGGCTCACGCCTGTAATCCCAACACTTTCTGAGGACAAGGCGGGTGGATCACAAGGTAAAGAGATGGAGACCATCTGGGCCAACACGGTGAAACCCTCTCTCTTATACTAAAAATACAAAAATTGTGGTTTCCAGGTTCATCCATGTCCCTACAAAGGATATGAACTCATCCTTTTTTATGGCTGCGTGGGAATTGAACAATGAGAACACCTGGACACAGGGCGGGGAACATCACACACCAGGGTCTGTCGTGGGGTGGGAGGAGCGGGGAGGGATAGCATTAGGAGAAATACCTAATTTAAATGATGAGTTGATGGGTGCAGCAAACCAACATGGCACATGTATACATGTGTAACAAACCTGCACGTTGTGCACATGTACCCTAGAACTTAAAGTATTAAAAAAAATACAAAAATTAGCTGGGCGTGGTGGTACATGCCTATAGTCCCAGCTACTCAGGAGGCTGAGGCAGGAGAATCGCTTGAACCTGGGAGGTGCAGGTTACAGTGAGCAGAGATGGTGCCACAGCACTCCAGCCTGGTGACAGAGCGAGACTCCGTCAAAGAAAAAACAAACAAACAAACAAAAATACACAAACAAACAAAAAGCAGGAGAAGCTCATATTCTATATCCTTGAAGACAACTTGATGATAAACAGCTGGAGAAGTCTTACATGCAGCAAGGACAAGGGAAACCCTCAACAGTGGGCAGAACAGGTCAGGAAGAAAAAGAATGTTAATGTTAGCAATGACTCTTGGTACAGATGTTTCTTTATTTCTACTTTACTGCTTTCTCTCCTAAAGTATAAACTGCAACATTGACTCCTCTTTCATTCACATTCTCACATAGGACACAATTCTGGACTTGCTGACCAGTGAGAACTTATTAAAGAAAAGGGCTCTTTCCTTCCAGAAGGCTTGGGCTCCTCCTCCAATTATTTACAATTATTCATGAGCCTTCTCCGTCCCTTGTCAAAGTCCAAGATTAGCAGTTGATTGTACACTAGAGCCTGAAGAGCAAACACGCTGAGCTATTAAAGGACTTGGACAGATTCCTATGCATCTCCAACAGTGGTAATGGAAGTGAGAATTCACTCTACTGCAATACTTCCCTTCAAACGCCTCCCCTCCTCCATATTTGATAACAAAAATAGTAAGAAGAGATTTCCCTGTAAATGTAGCTTTAAAATTATATACTTCAACACACACTCAGCATGAAAACAGATGAGAAACCCATGAACTTGTTTGGAGTTTTCTTGTGAGAAATAGTTGCTGCCCACAAAGAGACTGTATTTCCCCAATAGCAGCACTGGAGGAAATCTCCCTGGACATTTTCCAGTTCTCTCACTTCACTTTCTGCCTCTTCCTCTTTGACAGAAAGTGAAATCACACCTAGTGAAACTGACCTACTCACCATCCAAGGACAGCTTTCCTGGTGAATGTACCTAGAAGATGCTCCAGTGGAGACAGCAGAGGTGCCAACACTTCGCTGCTTATTATGCTAATAGAACATTAGCTTCCTGGGCAACATCTCTATCACAACTCGTTAAAGAAGTTACAGGGGTAACTGGAAAAGAATCAGGACAATTTTCATGATGATCTAAGCAGAAGGTCACAGATGTGCCAGCACTCTGAAGGCTAGAATAAGGATGGAAAATCCCACAGAAGGTGATTCCAGTAAGAGAATAGATGTGGGACTAATCGACCTCGTTGTGAAAAGACACGTCTCCAGCCTTGCTGTCCTGGAAACCTTCTAGGGGGACAGGGAGGCTCCTGACAGAGTCTCTGGGCAGGAAGTGAGAGCCATGACCCTTCCTTCTTCACATGTCACCATGCAGAAATTCTTCTCTGGACTTTCTACAAACCACCACTCTCTCTTCATTGTGCTGAACAAACACCCAGAGCTCATCTCGTTCCTGGTCCAACTTCTGTCCCCATTATTTACTTCTACCTCCCAGTAATGTCTGTCTCCCCTGTGGTAAAGTAATGTCTCCCCTGTGGTAAACCCAGAACACTGAAGATGGTTTTGGATTCCCCTTGTCCTTGGTGTGTGGGGGCATCCCAGTTCGGGGAACATTCTCCGTTGAAGAAGTGTATCTTCTACCCTCAGATCGGATGAGGTTGGGATGAGCTGCATCTGGATCCAGAGAAACAGCCACTGCATGTATAGTTGGAAAAAAAAAAAAAAAAAAAAGGAGGAAAGCTGCAAATACTGGGAAGGCAGAATGGAGAAAAACAAGAGGGAGAAAACTGGAAGGTTAGGTAAAACTGTGTTCCGTCCTAGGAGATACACGATGTGTAAGTCCTAGAAGGCTAGGGTTGGGCAAGATCTTCAGTAACCATCTATTCCATCCAGGCTAGGACTGTCTAGCCAGGATGGCTGTCACACCTGAAAGTGTTCCAGGGTAAGGTTTTCAGGATGGGGTCCTGCCTATTCTTCAAACGCCTGTTACGTTATTGCTTGTTCTTAAAATTAAGTCCTATAGTATCTCCAGTCATGGTGTGTCCACTTTCATTTAAGCCTCTTCATTTTCATTTTCTGTGGGTTTATGTAATAACTGGGCCATCCACTTCTCATACACCTTTATTTCTAGTGATTGAAATCCCAGGCCTTGTAGTCAAAAAGATCTGAATCTTGATAATTGCTCTTTCTTTAGTAGCTCTGATCTTGGTGACGTTACCTTGCTTCTTTCAGGCACACCTAACTCTCATAATAATGCAAATAATTATGGCATTCAGCACAGGACTATTGTGAGAAATAAATGAGATAGCGTATAGGGAACTTAATACTATGACTTCTCTGTGATGAACACTTGGTTCATTTTAGCTTCCAATATTTATAGTAACACTAATAGCAGAGGTGATAGTAGCAATAGTACTAATACTGGTAGTAACTAATCTTCTTTTCAAACCAAACATCCTCAGTAATTAAAATTTTTCTCATAAGAATTTGTATTTGTAAATTAGACCTCTCCCTCTCCCTCTCCCTCTCCCTCTCCCTCTCCCCCTCCCCCTCCCCCTCCCCCTCCCCCTCCCCCTCCCCCTCCCTCTCCCTCTCCTCCCTCTCCCTCTCCCCTTTCCACAGTCTCCCTCTGGACTGTGCTGCTGCCATCTCGGCTCACTGCAACCTCCCTGCCTGATTCTCCTGCCTCAGCCTGCCCAGTGCCTGCCATTGCAGGCGCGCGCCGCCACGCCTGACGGGTTTTCGTATTTTTTTGGTGGAGACGGGGTTTCGCTGTGTTGGCCGGGCTGGTCTCCAGCTCCTAACCGCGAGTGATCCGCCAGCCTCGGCCTCCCGAGGTGCCGGGATTGCAGACGGAGTCTCGTTAACTCAGTGCTCAATGGTGCCCAGGCTGGAGTGCAGTGGCGTGATCTCGGCTGGCTACAACCTCCACCTCCCAGCCGCCTGCCTTGGCCCCCCAAAGTGCCGAGATTGCAGCCTCTGCCCGGCCGCTACCCCGTCTGGGAAGTGAGGTGCGTCTCTGCCTGGCCGCCCATCGTCTGGGATGTGAGGAGCCCCTCTGCCTGGCTGCCCAGTCTGGAAAATGAGGAGCGTCTCTGCCCGGCCGCCATCCCACCTAGGAAGTGAGGAGCGCCTCTTCCCGGCCACCATCCCATCTAGGAAGTGAGGAGCGTCTCGGCCCGGCCGCCCATCGTCTGAGATGTGGGGAGCGCCTCTGCCCCGCCGCCCCGTCTGGGAGGTGAGGAGCGTCTCTGCCCGGCCGCCCCATCTGAGAAGTGAGGAACCCCTCCGCCCGGCTGCCACCCCGTCTGGGAAGTGAGGAGCGTCTCCGCCCGGCAGCCACCCCATCCGGAAGGGAGGTGGGGGGGTCAGCCCCCTCCCGGCCAGCCACCCCGTCCGGGAGGTGAGGGGCGCCTCTGCCCGGCCGCCCTACTGGGAAGTGAGGAGCCCCTCTGCCCGGCCAGCCGCCCCGTCCGGGAGGGAGGTGGGGGGGTCAGCCCCCCGCCCGGCCAGCCGCCCCGTCCGGGAGGGAGGTGGGGGAGTCAGCCCCCCGCCTGGCCAGCCGCTCAGTCCGGGAGGGAGGTGGGGGGGTCAGCCCCCCGCCAGGCGAGACGCCCCGTCCGGGAGGGAGGTGGGGGGTCAGCCCCCCGCCCGGCCAGCCGCCCCGTCCAGGAGGGAGGTGGGGGGGTCAGCCCCCCGCCCGGCCAGCCACCCGGTCCGGGAGCTGAGGGGCGCCTCTGCCTGGCCGCCCCTACTGGGAAGTGAGGAGCCCCTCTGCCCGGCCAGCCGCCCCATCCGGGAGGGAGGTGGGGGGTCAGTCCCCCGCCCGGCCAGCTGCCCCGTCCGGGAGGGAGGTGGGGGGGTCAGCCCCCCGCCCGGCCAGCCGCGCCGTCCGGGAGGTGAGGGGCGCCTCTGCCCGGTCGCCCCTACTGGGAAGTGAGGAGCCCCTCTGCCCGGCCACCACCCCGTCTGGGAGGTGTACCCAACAGCTCATTGAGAACGGGCCATGATGACAATGGCGGTTTTGTGGAATAGAAAGAGGGGAAAGGTGGGGAAAAGATTGAGAAATCGGATGGTTGCCGCGTCTGTGTAGAAAGAAGTAGACATGGGAGACTTTTCATTTTGTTCTGTACTAAGAAAAATTCTGCCTTGGGATCCTGTTGATCTGTGACCTTACCCCCAACCCTGTGCTCTCTGAGACATGTGCTGTGTCCACTCAGGGTTGAATGGATTAAGGGCGGTGCAAGATGTGCTTTGTTAAACAGATGCTTGAAGGCAGCATGCTCGTTAAGAGTCATCACCACTCCCTAATCTCAAGTACCCAGGGACACAAACACTGCGGAAGGCCGCAGGGTCCTCTGCCTAGGAAAACCAGAGACCTTTGTTCACTTGTTTATCTGCTGACCTTCCCTCCACTATTGTCCTGTGACCCTGCCAAATCCCCCTCTGCGAGAAACACCCAAGAATTATCAATTAAAAAAAAAAAGAAAAAGAAACTGCCTCTGTTAGGATCAAAGGTTGAGAAAGTAAGGAGAATACAGAGCTTCCTTCCATAACTGTAGGAAGGCACCAAATTTGAACAGAGTAAGGCTCCTAGTGCCACTGCCTAAAAGGATTGAGATGAGTAGCATAGGTAAGTTCTGCTCCAGGCTTCAGATCACAATTCTAGTAACATAGCACAGTGAGAACATTTTTATTTTTTCTGGACAAGTTTTGCCTCCCCATCGACAGGTTACATAAAGGAAACCCAATTTTTCATTCATCAGCAAAGACTTCCAGGAAAAGGGAGGAAAATTTCCTGTTCTCTCTTAAATGTTGTCAAAAGATTTAAAGCTCTTCATCCTTTTGATTCTCTTTACTTCAGATTCATGAGATAGAGCACACTATGCACAGGGCCAAGGCATCTGAACTAAGAGATGACAAGAAAGAGGGGTACGGCAGAAATAAGCAATAGCCCTGCCAGTACACAGTGTCTTAAGCTCCTACTTCTTGATTTTTTTCTTTTCCATTATTGACATCTGATTGATGTTAGGTAAACAGGTAGAACAAGGGGAATTGGCATGTGTGAGGGCAAAAATCTCACATGGAAATCACTAGATCTCTATAATGGGACAAGTGTCTATGAATTAGCAATGAAACCATAAGTTAGGATAATGTCTTGATGAGAAATGTTCTGGAAATAGCAACCAGATTCCGGTATCAGAAGGGATGGGGATTCATGGTGAGGGTCCAGGCAGGCATTTCTGTGTTTCAAATATTTAATACAATTGAACTGAGAGAAAGTCATGTATCAAGGGCAAAGCTGCTGCATTCAAAGAAGAACTACTAGGATTCAGCTTAGGCTTGCATTTTGGGAACCACTGTAGTAAGTGAGTAATCATAATCCAGAGAGAAGCCACACTTATGACAGATTCTTAGTGAATTAATTATTTATTACTGGTAACAAATTACCTGGAAACTTAGTGGCTTAAAACAACAATTGCATATTATCTTACAGGTCAGGAATTTTGGAGCAGCTTAGCTGGGTAGCTCTGGCTCAGTCTCTCATAGGTTGCAGTGAAGCCATTGGCTGGGGCTGCAGCCATCTGAAGCCTTGACTGGGGTTGGGGGTCTCTTTACAAGAAGGCTCATTACATGGCTGTTGACTGAAGGCTTCAGTTCCTCACCAATAGGCCTCTCCACTGAGCCACCTGAGTGTCTTTAAGATTTGGCAGCTGACTTCCCCCAGAACAGATGATGAGAGAGAGAGAAGAGGGGAGGGAAGTGGGGGAGAAGAAGGAAGACTTTAATGTTTTCATGACCTAATATAGGAAGTAACATACCATAATTTCTGCTGTTGTCAACTGGTCATACAGACCACTCCTGCTATAGTGTGAGGGACTATGCAAGAGTGTGATTGTCAGTAGAGAGAATGGTGCAGGGTTTTGATACATGGTCTTTAATTTGGTTGAATCGATCATTCACAGAGGACAGTGTTTTTTGTTTGTTTAATCCTGCCTACCTACCCCCTCACCTTTATTCTGTTTCTAGATAGAGGGAGGCTGGTGTGGTGACTCAAGCCTGTAATCCCAACATCCGAGCACTTTCGAAGGCCAAGATGGGAGGGTAGCTTAAGGACAGGAATTTGAGACCAGCCTGGGCAACATAGTGAGGCCCCATTTCTACACACATCAAAAAATTAGCTGAGTTTGGTGGCACATGCCTGTAGTCCCAGCTACTCAGGAGGCTGAAGCAGGAGGACAAGGATTGCTTGAGCCTGGGAGATAGAGGCTGCAGTTAGCCATGTCTGTACCACTGCACTCCAGCCTGGGTGACAGAGAGAGACCCTGTCTCTCTCTCTAAAAAAACAAAAAGAGAGATACATGGATTGGCATTCTTTTCTGGAGAGATAGCAATTATGTCCTCCTGACACAGGATTTCTTCTCTTCCCTTTGGATAAAGGATATTTTGCTAATTCAAAAGATTAGGAAAGACAGGGTTGGCAGTTCCACTTACTATATTTATTATTACAGTCTTACTTGACTATAGGCCTAACTAATTTTAAGGACACTGGGTTTATAGAAGAGAATGATGTGAAAGAGGACGTTAGGACAACCTCTGATTCCTAGAGGGGAGGGTATAGCTTTCTCTTCCATATTTGCGAAGCAGGATTTTCCAAAGACATGAGATTGAAAAAAATTGTGGATGTGAGAAGACATAAATTTCATTAGGATGATGAAAACTATTTTTTTTCTCTCACCTCAAATCCATATCATCAGTGTTATAAAGTAAGCTAGGGTCTGTCTCCCTTTCAACCCAGTAGTCTTAAAAGGCTCAAGAAGATTAGGCTTGAATTTCTACTCTCAAACTCAAAATTTTGTAATCTCTCTTTTTTAAATGATTGAAGTGTAATTTACAGACATGTATTTTTACAAGCACAGATTATAAGTATTAACAATTGAATACACCCAAGTAATTCATACCTCAATCCAAACAAAGAACATTAATTTTTCACAGGCAACCAGTAGTCTGATTCCCATCATCAAAGTTTAGTTTTGCCTTTTCATTAACTTCATATGGTAATAATACACTATTTGCTCTGTTGTATCTAATTTTTTTCATTCAATATAATGTTGAGATCATGTATATTGCTGTGTATGTTCTTTTAATATTTTAAGTTGAATTTCATTTTATGAATATGCTTCAGTTTTTTCCACTCATTTTTCTGCTGATGGATACCTGGATGTTTCTAGGTTTGGGCTATTATTAATAAAATTGCTATGAACATTCTCTTTCAAGTCTATTGTGGACACATATTTCATTTCTTTTATACTTTTCATTCCATATACAATGTCTGGGTCAAAGAGTAGGTATGTGTTTAATTTTATAAAATACTACAAATCAGTTTTCCAAAGTGGCTGCACTATTTTACATTCAAATAAGCAATGTATGAGAGTTTCAGTGACTCCACATAACCAATAATTGATATTTTCAGCCTTTTAAATTATATCCAGGTCAGTGAGTGTAAAGTAATAACTCATTTTGGTTTGCATTTTCCTGATGATTATGTTGAATTCTTTAGTCATCTATCTTCATTTATGAAATATTCATTCAAATCTTTGTTCTATTTTGTTGCATTATTTAATATTTTTATGAAGTTGAAGAAATTCTTCAAATAGTCTAGATACAACACTTTTGTTAGGTCTCTTCCTTTATGTAGGTATTTTTAAATTTTTATCTGAAGGGTTTTGCAGTTTTCAGTGTAGGTATCTTGCATATACTTTGTTAATTATATTCTTAAGAATTTTATGCTATTTGATTCTATTGTAAGTGATATATTCATTTTCCAAATGTTAATTACTAATGTATGGAAATAAAATTTATTTTCATTATTAATTTTGTACACTGAGACCTTGCTAAAATCCCTGATTAATTATTCTAGAAGTTTGGTGGTTTTATAGATTCCATTCGATTATCTAAGTACTTAAGCACATTATGTGTGAATGACAATATTGTCTTCTTTCTTTCCAATCTTTATTACTTTTAATTAATTAATTAATTATTTTGCTTTATTCTTCTGGCCAGGTCCTCCTCACTACTGGAAGTACTAATAGAGGACATTCTTTTCTTGTTCTCGATTTTAGGGGTAAAGTGAGCAATACAACACTACTGTTTTTGATGTTAGCTTTTGATTCTTCCCTGGCACTATTTAGTAGACTCAGAAAATTTTCTTCTATTCTTACATTGCTAGAGGATATTGTTGCTGCTGTTGTTTTATTTTTAAAATCATGAGTGGATATTAACTTTTATTTTAAAATGTTTGTGCCATCTAAGATTACATAGTTTTTATTTTCTTGTTTTTAATTTTGTTTTTGCTTTATATTATGTATATAATTTCATAATTGTATTAATGTATTACAAAATTTATATTTTTAAGATTAAACTACACTTAATTATATGTATTTTTTACTAGATTTATCTTACTGTTTTAATTAGAATCTTTGCATCTGTGCAAACAATTCTGTAGGTTTTCTTTTCACTCTCTTGATAAGTGTATTTTGATGCACAAAAGTTTTTAATTTTTACAAAGCCCAATTTATGTAATTTTTCTTTTGTGGTCTGTGCTTTTGGTGTCATTTTAAAGAAGCCATTGCCTAATCCAAAGTCATGAAGATTTTTCCCTTGTTCTCTTTTAAGAGTTTTACAGTTTTATCACTTAAATTTAGGTCTTTGGCTCAATTTGATTGAATTTGCACATGGCTTAAAGTAAGAATCCAACTTCATTCTTCCTGCATGTGGGTGTCTAATTTTCCCAACACCATTTGTCAAAGACCACCGTTTCCCCATTGAATGGTCTTGGCACCCGTGGTAAATGAATTGAGAGTTCACTTCTGGCCTCTCAATGCTTCTCCATTTGTCTCTGTATTTTTCTTTATACCAGTGCTGCATGCACTCTTGATTACTGTAACTTTGTATTAAGTTTTGAAACTGGGAAGTGAGAGTCCTGCAAATTTGTTTCTTGTTTTTCAAGATTGTTTTGGTTACTTGAGGTCCTTTTATGTTCCACATGAATTTTAAGAGAGATTTTTCTATTTCTATCCAAAAAATAATGCCATTAAGATTTTGGTAAGGAATTACATTGAATCTCCCTATCACATTGGATAATATTGTCACCTTAGTAATATTAAGTTTTCCAATCCATGACTGTAGGAAGTCTTTTAAATAAAGAGGTATATCTATATTTACATAGGTTTGTTTTCAATATTTATATAATTTTATATGCTTTACTGGTATATAAATAAATTTGATTTATATTTAATATTTTCTTTTATAATAGAAAATAATATATATATTTATGAGGCATAATATCAAGTTTTGACAGATATATGTACCTCAAAACTATTTATATATATTTCATACACAGCATATATATTATGTACAACATAATGTATATTATATATTACATACATTTATAGACTATAAATATATATACTAATATGTAACTATATATAAATAATATATAACTACATATTCATAGATATATATAACTATATACAAATATATAAAAGTATAAAAATAAATCTATATATTATATATAGTGGAATTATTAAATTAAGCTATATAGTGAATGATTGAATTAAACTGATTAACATAATCATCACTTCACATGCTTATCAATTTTTTTTGGTGAACAGACTGAAATTTCCTCTTCGTAATTTGTAAAATATACATTATTATTAGCAATATATTTCAAAAACATATTGCTCTTGTGTAACTGAAACTTTGTACTCTTTGACCAACATCTTCTCATCTTCCCCATCATCGCCCCACTTCCCCAGCCTGTAACCACCATTCTGCTCTCCACTCCTATGAGTCTGACTTTTTAGATTCCATGTATAAGTGAGATCACAGTATTTGTCTTTCTGTGCCTGGCTATTTTACTTAGAATAAAAAGAATCAGATTGCACCTAGCTCAGTTAACCCCTTGACTCTAGGTATAGAAATAATAAAAACACAAAATCAAACAAATTATATGTGTGTGTCTATCATCTATCTATCTATCTATCTATCTAATGTCTATTTAAATACCATCTTTGACATTGCCATGGAGGATTATTATCCATATCATGATAATTTAGTAGATTGGCCCAGGGAATAGATAAACATTGGTGTTACCATACAATTTATAAATGTAGTTTTTAAAGAAAATGTCAAAGTATGTGGTTTAATTTGTAAAGTATATATTCTCATTTCGAATCTCTAAATGTAATATGTTTGTTTTCTCAACAGTATTACCCTGTTTCCAAATATTGCTTAAGGAGCCAATATGTCACAAAAGTTTTGCAGCAAGCAAATAAAATAAAATAAAATATGTATTTATTTTTACTCTAAAAACTATACATGCCTCTTTATTTATAGAGAGCTATAGCTATATCTGGATATCTATAAGACAAAGTTTTTTTACATTTAATCCACATATTTTGAACTTTTTAAAAAGATGTATTCCTAGGTAGTGTGTAATTTTGATGATAATGTGAATTGTATTTTCTTTTCAAATTGTATGTTCTCTTCATTTCTGTCTTATAAAAATGTGTTGGTTCTTGGATATTATTCTTGTATTTAATAACCTTGGTAAACTTATTAATTCCAAAAATTTAGCTGTAGTATTTCTTGCAATTTCTAAATACACAATAATGCCAACTGCATATGACAGTTTTATTTGCTCTAGTCCAATATTTGTTGAAAGTCCCCACCTCTGATATATATCCTTTTGTCAGAGTTTGTCATTGAAATACTAAGATACCCTATATTCCTGTTATTCTAGAAGTTAAGAAACAAAATCAGAGCTAAAACTTGCCAACTGGTTGGACCCAGTAACCCAGACAGGGGACAGACTTTTCTTGTTAGATCCCATCTAAGCCACGTAGGCTTGAGACACAGATTCTGGAACCTGAGGGAAAGAAACATGTGTTTGCAGATATAAAATATGGATTTAAAAAAATCATCAGGGAAAGAAAATGTCTATGGCAAAGGGCATAAGATTAGAATCTACTACGCTCAGCGAAGTTGCACTCTCATCTAAGAAGTTCTTATCTAAATAACTGCCCTTTAGAAGCCCTCTGTTAATCAATAAACAGCTGTATAATTAGACATTACTTTCTTTTCTGACAACTACTCCCACTTAACTCTATTTCTGTTCACTTTTCTTCCCTTCCTTAGTTTTCAGACATTGTCTCAGGTGTATCCTTAGACCCTTTAACCCTGGTCTGCATGAAATTCCATACTTATATTTATGTTCTCCTTAATGCCTAGGTATTGGCAATCTTTGGCAGTCATTCCCTTATCCCCAGTGGGGAAAATACTGCTACAAATTTAAATGCATTTCACCACTTTAGTAGTTCACAAACTAGACAAAGGTACTGTCAACGATTGCCTGGATAACTCTTAACAGTAGTCTCCTTGCTTCTTCTTTTCCTCCCACTACTGTCTTTTCTTAACACAGCAGAAAAATTGTTTTATGTCTTTATGCAGACATAGGTAAAAACGTGTCATTTGCCTACATAATGACCCATCTTATCTCTTTATTTCATTCAAGTTAAAATCAAAGTCCTGTCAGTAGCTCACTAGATGTTACAATTTTTTTTGAGGCGGGGTCTTGCTCTGTTGCCCAAGCTGGAGTACAGTGGAACAATCATAGCTCACTGCAGCCTCAACCTCCTGGGATCAAAGGGTCTTCCCCTGCCTCAGCCTTCTGAGTAACTGGACTACAGGTGCATGCCACCATGCCTGGCTAATTTTTTTATTATTTTGTAGAGACGGGGTCTTGCCATCTTTCCCCAGCTGGTCTTGAATTCCTAGGTTCAAGGGGTCTTCCCACCTTGGCCTCCCAAAGTGCTGGGATTACAGGCATGAGCCACCATGCCTGGCTGATCCATTATCTTTCTAACTTATTTTCCTACTGTTGTTTTCCTGGATCAGTTCATACCAGTGACACTGGCCACTTCATATTCCTTGAAAACACCAGACACATTCCTATCTTACGGTCTTTGCTGTAGTTGTCTTCTCTGCCTGGAAAACTCTTCACTCAGAAATCCACTTAGATATCTACCCTACTTCCCCCAAGTATTGCCTTCTCACAGAGGTATATCCAGGATAATCTATTTAAATCGAAATCCCACTGCAGCTGCCAGTAGTTCTCTTTCACTGACTTGCTTTTTCACTTTTCACAGCAGTTACCACCTTCTAAGATACTGAAATGGGAAAGGTCTTCTTGTCCCCCTCACAGGGCTTGCAACAGCGGGAGTGGCTCACTTCTTCAGTGCCCTGCTGCTCAAACCTCTAGGGAGAGCATACAGACGGACAGGATGTGGGGCTCTGGCCTCACGGCAGCATCTAGGGGTGTATGTTTACAGTTCCTGAAGCCCCAGTGGGCATGTGTTACTGTGTGCTCTTTTAGTTTTGCCATGTATAGGCAGCTAGTGTTAACTAGCTCAGTTAGACCCTCTGCCTTATTGCAAGGACAGAGGGCTTTCTGTATCCCAGGTTCTTACCTTGGTGTACCAGAAAAATCAGATCACATGTGGGCTTGAAGAATGAAAGCAAGGTTTTACTGAGTGGAAGTGGCTCTCAGCAGATGGGGGAGCCAGAAGGGAGATGGAGTGGGAAGGTGGTTTTCCCCTGGAATCAGGCTGCTCAGCAGCTGGGTTCCCCTCCAACTGCCCTGGCCAAACTCCATTTTGTTCCGCTGGTCAATGGCCTGCCAGCGTGCCAGCATCTGCTGGTTCCTGTTGGCGTGATCTTTAACCGATGTGTCCCTCTTGACATCCAGCCACTTGTGTGTTCTTCCACTGATGTGTTCCTTTCGACGTCCAGCCGCTTCTGTCCCTGCCTGCTAGGGTCTCAGGATTTTTACAGGCACAGGATGGGGGCATGGCAGGCCAGGGTGGTCTTGGGAAATGCAACATTTGGGCATGAAGGCAGGAGTGTCTGTCCTTACCTAGGTCTGTGGGCACAGGCCCAGGGGTGGAGCCTTAGCCAGGGACCATGCCCTTCCCTTACCAGCACTTCCCTGCCCCTCTTCTATATCACCTCCCCCGTCTGAAGAGGTACATCTAACTGCTGTTCGAATATGGATGATGACGGGTCTTAGCTGCTTCCTGCTGATAGGGGCATCGTTTTGGGGAAAACGGCAGTCAGATTCTTCCCAGAGGTGTATATAAGGGTTCCTAGCAAAGGGGAGCCATCATCCAAGGCTCCGGTTCCCTGACCATTTGGAGGTTGATGGCTTCCAGGTGTGAGAGAAAAAACAAGTTTTATAAGGTTAAGTATGCATGGATTATATATACTTGGGTATGTATACCCAAGTTATACACACTGTAACTATGTACATACATACTATACATACTATAATAAATACGTGTATTATACAAGGAAAAAAAATTAGTGCCAAAGATTACAGAGTTAAGAAGTGAAATATACTAACAACAACATTGTACCCTGAGATGTTTCACCCTGGTGAAAGAAATTAAACCTTGTATGGGAGTGGATAAACTTTTAGAATGAGATAACTGTTCTGGCCATATCTTTAGTAGTTAACAGGTGTACCCTGGGAATTCTGGGGTTTGTGGGCTTGCCTGGTGGCCATTAAAGCTTCTGTCTCTTTCCTGTATTTCCTCTCTCTTTCCTGGGCCTCCCTGTCTGTATTATAAAAGACCAAGGTGGCCACTTTCAGAAGGTCCTCTAATGTACTATCCGGTCCCAGGGCCCGTTTCTGCAACTTCCTCCTGATGTCAGGAGCTGCCTGAGTAATAAATTTATCCTTTAGGGTTAGCTGTCCCTCGACTGAATCAGGAGATAGACAGGTATGCTTTACCAAGGCCTCTCTTAGTCTCTCCAGGAAGGCAGCAGGATTTTCATCAAATACCTCGTCGATCATGGACAACTTAGTATAATTGAGAGGCTTGGTCTTAGTCCTACAAAAGCCTTCCATTATGCACATCTGAAAGCGTCTCCTCTTCCAGTCTTCCACCTGTCATTGGGATCCCACTTAGGGTCATTCACTTTTACTGCTTCTCTTCCAGTTGGATAATGTTTGCTCCCTTCCCTGATGCCATATGTGATACAAAGCTCATTCCCAAATCTCTTTACTGCTTGCAGAGCGGCCTGCTTCTCAGTGTCCATCAGGGTCTGATTCAAAAGTAGCATAACATCTCTCCAGGAGAGTTTAAATATATGGGTGAAAGTCTGGAAAACCTCTATATATCTATAAGGGTCATCTGAAAGCTTGCCAAGATCCCCCTTGGTTTGCTTTAAGTCCTGTAGGAAGAAGGTGACCTGGACCTTACTGGGCACAAATTCACTGGGCATTTGTTGGAGGGGCAAAAGTGAGACTAGTTGAATGTTGAAGGTGTACCTCAACACACACACACACACACACACACACACACACACAGAGTTCCTTGGCACAGACTAGCATAGTGTTTGCTTTGGTTCTAGGCATTGTCTCTGTTCAATCATTAGCTAATGACTAAGCTAACCGGGCAGAAACATCAAACGTTACATTCAGGAAAGAATGGAGACTTTATAAAATTAGATCAGAAAAATCTTTAAACAAACAAACAAACAAGTAGTAATACAACAAATGCAACAACAGCAAACTCTGTAGAGGGAGGAAATCTGGTTTCTAAATTGCAACATTATAATATTCAAAATGTCTAGATTTCAGCAAAAAATAATGAAGCATGTAAAGAAAAAAGAAATCATGACCCATGCACAGAAAATAATAAAAAGAAACTGTTTCTGAAGAAGCCCAGACATTGTAATTAGCAGAATAAGACATGTCTAAAAAATAAAGTATAAGAATGATGTCTCAGCAATTTGAGAATATCAGAAGGAGAAATTATAGAAATAAATAGCAATTCTGCAGGTTAAAAATACTGACTTGCAAGGTTTCCGTTGAGAAGTCTGGTAATGGACTTATGGGAGATCTCTTACACGTGATGTTTCTTTCAGAATTCTCTCTTTGTGTTTGACCTTTGACAATTTGATTATAATATATCTTGGAGTATGTCTTTTTTGAATTGAACTTGCTTGGGATGCTTTGATCGTCTTCAATCTGGATGTTCATATCCCTCTCAAGATTTGGAAAATTCTCAGATAATATTCCATTGATTAAGCTTACTGCCCCTTCCTCTTTTTCTTCTTTTGGTACTTCCATAATTCATATATTTGTATGTTTGATGGTGTTCCATAAGTATGCATAAAACACTTATGGAAAAATAATCTCAACAATTTTGAGATTATTTTTGGCAGGTGGAGCATCCTAAAACTAGAAGTCATCACCTTCCTCTTCAAGTGACTGACTTCTTAACTTAGAAATCACCACCACAGGATGCATAGAAGACTGAAACAAAATGTGGCTTTGTGAATACAGTGTGGGCTTTGGAGTCAGAAACTCTGCCATTTGTTGGCTGGGTAACTTCTAGTGTCTCTCTCCATCTCAAAGAATTTCATCGTACAGTTTATTAGGGATTAAACAAGTTTGTGCTTATAAGGTACCCACTATAGAACTTTGTAGTCAATAGACACTCAATAAAAGGTGTTATTACTCTTCCTTGTTCTCCACAGTGGCTTATGAGATCCCATTTACTGGCTCACTCTTCCTAGCACCATAGACCTCTGGACTGGATTTCTTCTTGCTATCTAACTCCAACAACTTGACTTCCTTTGTTCACCTTCATTTGTTTCAAGGCTCTTCTTTTTTTAACTTTTAGTTTTAAGGGTACATGTATGTAATTGTTTGTTATATGGGTAAATTGTGTGTTGTGGGGGTTTGGTGTACAGATTCTTTAGTCACCTGGGTAATAAGCATAAAACCCAAGAGATATGCTGTCTCCCTCCTCCTAGCCTCCACCCTTAAGTAGGCCCCAGTGTCTGTTGTTCCCCTCTTAGTGTCCATGTGTTCTTGTTGTTTAGCTCCCACTTATAAGTGAGAACATATGGTATTTGGTTTTCTGTTCCTGCTTTAGTTTGCTTAGAATAGTGGTCTCCACCTCCATCCATGTTGCTGCAAAGGACATCATCTCATTATTTTTTATGGTTGTGTAGTATTCCACGGTGTATATTTACCACATTTTCTTTATCCAGTCTGCCTCTTTTTAAATATAGTCATTTTTCTCATTTTTAATTATCAAACATTTATAAAATGCTTATTCTGTGGAAGGTTCTCTGCCTTAAGAGTTACAAACATTAGGCTGGGCACGGTGGCTCACGCCTGTAATCCCAGCACTCTGGGAGGCCAAGGCGGGTGGATCACCTGAGGTAGGGAGTTTGACACCAGCCTGACCGACATGGAGAAACCCCACCTCTACTAAAAATACAAAATTAGCTGGGTGTGGTGACACATGCCTGTAATCCCAGCTACTTGGGAGGCTGAGGCAGGAGAATTGCTTAAACCCAGGAAGTGGAGGTTGCAGTGAGCCGAAATGGTGCCACTGCTCTCCAGCCTGGGCAACAAGAGTGAAACTCTATCTTCAAAAAAAATTTAAAAAAAGAGTTACAAAGATTAATGATATACAATCTCTGGCCTTAAAAATCTCTGAAAAACTAGAAATAATTCTAAAGCCCAGATAGAGTGAGTTCCCTTCCAGTATCCTATACAAGTTCAAGGTCCTCCAAAGCATTATTAAATCTTCCTAGCCTTTTGATCCTCTGCCTTTTCTCCTGCCTCACTAATGTTCTAAGTCTCTGTTATGACACAGATTCTAGAACCTTCACAGGCCACACTCCCATCATTTGCTTAGGTCTGATCAATCTGCTCCACACAATTTCTCAGTGATCCTCTGCATCTCTGCCTACAAGGGCCTCCCTGACACCCAAGTTCATATTGCTCAGAAACAGTGAACTTGAGTTTTTCGTTTTATCTTGATCTCTCTCTGACAAAGAAATCCAGATGATGCGAGACCTGATGAAGACAATACATGGAAAATGACAGTCTTGGGTATGGACTAACTCCCTCTTTGAGGCTTCCTCAACTCTAGTAGTTCAGGAGTCTCCTCTTAGGGACTTAGGGACTTTAACACAACTGCTTTATCTTCCTTGCCTGCTTCCTTTTCAAATTCAATATTTTTTCTTTCACTCTTATTGATTCCTCTGGAAGCCTGGGGGAAACAACCCACAGTTAACTAAGCTCTAGGCTGATAGTGCTGGTTTCTCCTTTGGTTTCTAGAGTTTAAACTGAACAAAGAAAATAACCATCCTCCGTAGCACTAGGAAAAATTCCTTAGCCCATTATCTCACTTCCTGTAGCATGGTCACTCTATATAATCTGCCTCAACTCAGAAATAATGATTTCCTCTCATTTTCCCTATTAATAGGGTGGACCATCTTCTAACTGCCCTATAGACAGGGCATTTCAGACACTAAAGGAAGAAAAGGAATATACAGTAGTACTGAGTACACCATCTAGTTATCCTTTCCTCCCCGATGAGTTATTTAACACTAGAAAAAAAAAATTCACATAATAGAGGGCATATTGACTACTTGCTGTTCATTTTAGAGGTACATTAGTAGAAAATCTCCAAAAGTTGATTTGGCAGGAGAATTTTCTCACAGGACCAAACACCTAGAAGACTCAGTAGACAAATGCCTAATCTGCCCTGGTTGGAGGTGTGTTATTATATCTTGAGATGGATTCACCTATTGTTCGTTTGAAGTAGTCTTAATGTGGGTGTAATCTACTTTCCTAGTCTTTCAGAGCTCAATATTCTTCAGAGTTTTTACTTTCACAGGCAGTTTTATGGTTGTTTTTTTCTTCTTTCCTTTCTCTCTCTCTCTCTTTTCTTTTTTTTTCTCCCCCGATCCTTCATAGCCACTGCCCTTTATAACCATATGATATTGTCTAAGATTTTTCTCTCCTATGACTGCAAGACTCTATCTTACATCAATTGAATGCAGATCAATGACACATAAACAAACACAAGTTAAGCAATCCCAGCATATTTTATCCTACTAACCACAATAACAAACCTCGCAAATATCCATCTTATCATCAGGAGGTTGGCAAGTGATGGCTGAAAGGTTTTTCTGTGACAAGAAATTTCTGTCCTTTGCTGTGGCTTTCATTAATAAAACCACCTTCAGTCAGCACCCTTCAGTCAAGGTGCTGAAAGTTTTTTGATCACTCACTCATAAAAATGTTTTGAGTATGCATTGCCTATAAAAGTATATTTATAAATCTTATTTATAGCCATATATATATATATATATATATATATATATACAGAAAATCTTGCAACTTTAAAGGTATGAGTTAAAATTACACAGAAAATAGAAGTTCTAATATTTTCCCCATACCCCAGTGGATAGCTTCGTAGACCACTGATTCCCTTTAACATTCTTCCTGCCTGGGGAGTAAAGGGTTCAACTGAGGAGGAAATCTGTCAGATTTCCAACTCTAAACCAAGGGTACACAGCATCTGAGGTTCTTAGTATACGACCAAAGAACCAATGTAAGAGCTAAAAATGGGCAGGGGCGGGAATGTGAGGACAGTAATATGCGGCAAATAAAAGAATAAAGGAGTTGAAGTAGCAGAAAGGGGAAAGAAAAAAAGTCTATCTGGTGGATAGTAAGAGGTGATCAGAAGTTGTTTCTGGTAATTTCCTGGTCTAAATAAGCATGTTTACAGGTGAGTTTTTGTTTTCAGAAATAACTTTGGCTGTCATCCTGACTCTACTGGGACTTGCCATCCTGGCTATTTTGTTAACAAGATGGGCACGATGTAAGCAAAGTGGTGAGTAATAATGAGTCAAAATGAAGATTTCCTGTGAAAACCACGGAGGGAGGGATGCCAAGATTCAGTCTGAGTTCATCTCACTCATCAAACAGCTAGAGACTTTGCCAATATTCTGGGAATCTGTTTCAATACTTGAGTCAAAGAATCTCTGACCTATTAGTGATTGTCCCTGCACTTTTAACTCCCAAGGTTTACATTATCAATAATGTCAAAGAAAAAGTCACAGGCCGGGAGCGGTGGCTCACGCCTGTAATCCCAGCACTTTGGGAGGCCAAGGCGGGCGGATCACAAGGTCAGGAGTTCAAGACCAGCCTGACCAAAATGGTGAAACCCTGTCTCTTCTAAAAATACAAAAATTAGCTGGGCATGGTGGCAGGTAACTGTAAGCCTAGCCGCTCGGGAGACTGAGGCAGGAGAATTGTTTGAACCCAGGAGACGGAGGTTGCAGTGAGCCGAGATCACGCCATTGCACTCCAGCCTGGGTGACAGTGCAAGACTCCATCTCAAAAAAAAAAAAAAAATCACAGAGTTTAGCAAAAGTAATAAGAATATTTTAAAAGAAAATTACCTGAGCTCCAAGGGAAATTACCTGAGTTTAAAAAAAAAAAATAGAAGTGAGAAGACAGTATGTTGCTAAACACCAGTATCTAGTATTATATAAAAAGAATTGGAGACTTTTAGTGACTTAATTTGGGGAGATGATAAGAAGAGACAAATACAGAGTAGTACTTGTCGATGAAATAGAGATGGAGCTCATAAAAGCTAAGACCTATTTCTATGCCATAAGGTCTCTCTTTCCTGGATTTTTCTGTTTCTCTCCCACAACTTTCTAATCAGCTGTATTCCCTCCCTGTTTCCCATCCTCAATGCCTGTGAGCCCTCAAAGCATAAGTAGTGTGAAAAGATAGGTAAAACAGGGCTGATGGGAGATGTGGAAAATGGGTGAGAACAACAATGCATTATATCAGGAGGACCACCTTGGTAAGCAAGAAGCATAGCTTAGAGTGAGAAGAGTTTGATCAGAGGAAGAACACTTCTCCTAAGTAACTAATAAAAACATTTTGCCTAATTCTTCCACAGAAATGTATATCTCCAGATACAGTTCAGAACAAAGTAAGTACTTATACTCATGAGAAAAATAAATATAGTACTTATAGAATTTTCACAAGTCAGGAATGAAATCTGTCTTGTTTACAGTTGTGTTTCCAGAACCTTGCATAGTGCACCATTGCATGAACTGAACTGCTTCTAAGTGAGTGGGAGAAATCTACCAGAGATTTCTGAGCAGTACTGAATGCCAAACTGGAGTTGGGGAGAATTAATTAATACTGGGTAGGCCTGCATAATTCTGAGGCTCCCTTCAGATGCTTCCTGTGGTCTGAGAGCAGCAACAGAGAACTGTTCCAGTTCAGGCACTGGAACAGATGGTTCAGTAAAAAGCCTAAATCCATTCATGAAGATGGCCTTAGTGAAGTGGCCGGACCGAAAAATATAATGTATCCTAGAATAACGAGAGTGAACACAGTTAGGGTAATTATGATTGACAAGAGTACCAACTTCAGGATGTGAAGAATTGAAGAAGACTTTCCATGGAAAGGTCTGGAGAGATGCCAAAGTTGTTAAGAAAGATAGCACAGGATTGGTATGAGGCAAAAACCAGGAGACTAGCTGCTGAAGTATCAAGAGGTAAAAGAAACTCTGAAACTCCTTCTGACTATCATTTAGCCTGGCTAATATTATAAAATTGGTGATTGACACAGTCACTTATCATCGTCAGCTCTTGTAGCTTATGCACAATTCCTAGTTCCTGCAAAGTAAATTAATTCACATCATTATTCACCATTAGGAGTTCATGTTTACATTAGTTCTCAGAGTCTTAAATAAAGCCTCATTTAATAATCAAGAAGCAAAATCATGTGCTCTCCCTTTTTTTCTAGGTGCTAGACTTCTGGACTATGAGGATGGTAGAGGTAAATAGATTAGGAACTACTAGACAGTTAATGAAGGAATATACTCTTTAGAGTGTGAATCAACTCATCTCCATTTGAGCATGATTTGTTGAGTCAGCATATCTTTCGTTTTTATAATATTCAAATGCTTATCACTCCTCTCTTTCTCAAGAAAAATTGTGCATTTTTCTCAGAAAAGGTAAATAGTTCTCCTTCTTAAGACCATCAAAAGAATTCATTTCCATCTTCTGTCTACTTCCAAGATATTAGAAAGGTTAAGGAACCGCTCCGAAACAATTTCCTGGATGTTTAAAATGTGGATAAAATGAATATGAAATGGAATAGTATATGTGAAAATACACTTTGAAAGCCATACAGTAGAAGAGGTAAACAAAGCTTATCCCCATTTAAGAAGATGAAATTTATGCTCAAAAGATTGAGACTTACTCAAGTTCACCTAGCTGAGGAGGGAGCTGGATATCAAATTCAGGTTTTGAAACGTGAGAGTTATGAGAAGACGGCAATGCGCTGTCTACTTTTTTGAAGGGACACACCAGTACCACTAATTTCAATGTACCATGGCTATCCCTAACCCTCACGCCCCAACACTCAATGTTCTCTTTCAGTATCCACTCACCAGGGCTGCCTATAGATGTTCCCTCGGCTGTCTCTCTCTCTCTTTCTCTCTCTCTCTCTCTCTCTTTCCTTCTCTCTTTCTCTCTTTCTGACTAGTCCTATCTCCAGAACTCAACAAGAACCACTAGAGCTACCTCTCATTCTTGCTGGAAGCCACTAAAGTTGTCCACACCAGGCCCACCAGCTACACCAGAACTATAAGGTTATGAGATTGTGGATGTGGAAATAATTACACACACACACACACACACACACGCTACAAGCATATAGATCCCTGAGAGTTGAGGAAAGAAAAGAGAAAGTAACTCAGTCACTTCGCTTGCTGTCCATGCCCCACACTTGGACTCTTGGTCCATCCTTCTCCTTCTTACCTCTATGATTCATCTATCATGAACAACAAGAGTGAAGAGCACAGTGCCATGGCATTCCCTCTTTATTTTCTGAAATGGAACCTAAAGAAAATGGGAATATCTGGGAAACTAGCAAATCTTTTAGTAGTTGGATTGAGACTAATGATAAACTTTTTTTTTTTTTTTTTTTTTTTTGAGACGGAGTCTCGCACTGTCGCCCAGGCTGGAGTGCAGTGGCGCAATCTCGGCTCACTGCAAGCTCCGCCTCCCGGGTTCACGCCATTCTCCTCTCTCAGCCTTCTGAGCAGTGACCACAGGCACCTGCCACCATGCCCGGCCAATTTTTTTGTGTGTTTTTAGTAGAGACGGGGTTTCACCGTGTTAGCCAGGATGGTCTCGATCTCCTGACCTCGTGATCCACCCGCCTCGGCCTCCCAAAGTGCTGGGAACATAGGCGTGAGCCACCACGCCCGGCCCGATAAACTTATTTTTTCATGAACTGTTGGTAAAGTTAATATGTTTTTTTCTTTCCTAAAAGATTTTTCTTCTCAGAGATCTAAAAGAGGAAGAGGTAAACAGATTTCTATCTAACAAAAAATAATATAGACTCACTTGTTGAAGTAAAATCTCATTATGTTTTTATCTTCTCTTTTAGGATCCCGACATGCATATTCAACACAAAGTGGTAAATTATTGTATTGCTAAGAAATTAATATAGGAGTCTGTTTATGAGAAATTAAGAATCTTATAATTTTTCTTCAATTCTCTAGACACTTCATATGATAACCGAGGTAAGTATATGTAGAGATTTTTGTAAAATTAAAGGAAAATCAGGCTTCTTCCTGCCACAACATAAAAGGCTATAAAAACTGACCAAAATTTAAAAAAGAAGAAGAAATCAAAGTAGTTACAGAATATTCTGAGAAATGTTCACAAATGTTCACCATCACGCTATGAGGCACCATTTTCCCCAAAGCTATGCAATTCCTCTCCTATCCAACTCCTAATTATTTAACAAAAGTAATATGAGAGAAAGGCATCAGCAAAATAGTAGAATAGGAGCTTTCTTCCCACACAGAAGCATCAATTTAGACAACTATCCACAGATGAGACAATACCATTGTGGGAGTCCAGGAGTCCAGCAGAGAAGTTCCAGCACGCTGTCAGGTTATAAAATCCTAGAACAGATGTATTAAAGAGGGTAAGAAGAACAGTTTCACTTTACCCACATCACTCCTCCCCCAAGGTGGCACAACTCAATGCTGAGACAGACCCACTTGGCCCACAATTTCTCCCACAGAAAAAATGTGCAGAACTTAATGAGTGCCCACATCCCCCAGCCATTCAGGATGCTGTCCGATAAGCCCACTTATTTCTCACTCCACCCAGAACATTGAGATGATCAGCATAGTTGAATGGTTAGGAGAGGCTGGGAGCAGGGAAAAGAGACTGCAGAACCCACTCATCAGAAAGCCTCATCAGAAAGCCTGCCATTTGAGATGCGTGACCTATGCTCCTTGCACTACTGACCCACAGGCATGCCTTTCACACATTTCACTCTCCCATCTAGGCTGAGTCCCCAAATGAGCCACCATGGACAACAAAAGGAAACATCTCACAGTCAGTTTGACTTTGTGGGATTGGAAAAAAGGACACAAACTTGAGAATTCCAGAGCACCACCCTAGGGAAAACAAAGGGAAGGCTCTCAGAACCTGGACTGGCTTTGCAGGATTGAGAGAAAGCACAATCTTAGAAATCCCATCTACCCTGGGTGTGGTAGTTCATGCCTGAAATCCCAGCACTTTGGGAGGCCGAGGCAGGAGGACTTCTTGAGACTAGGAGTTCGAGACTGGCCTGGGCAACATAGTGAGACTCCGTCTCTAAAAAAAAAAAAAATCAGTTGGATGTGGCGGTGCACACCTGCAGTCCCAGCTACTCAGGAGGCTGAGGTGGGAGGATTGCTTGAGCCCAAGAGTTTGATGCTGCAGTGAGCCACGATCATGCCACTGCTCCACTCTGGGTAGCAGAGTGAGATTTTCTCTCAAAAAAGGGAAAAAATCCCACCTGTGAAGTAGGCACAAACAAATATTGAACAGGGTGACTGTTTCTTCAAATGTGAAAACACAAGACAAGACTTCAAGGTCATAAAAATCAAGGAAACATGACACCACTAAAAGAACACAATAATATTTCAGTAACTAACCCCCAAAAATGAAGGTTTGCCTAAAAATCAATCCACCAGTTGCCTGACAAAAAAATCCAAAACAATTGTTATAAGAAAGCTCAGTGAGCTACAAGACAACACAAACAATATAATGACATCAGGAAAACAACACAAGAACAAAAGTAGAAGTTCAACAAAGAGAAAAAAAAACAAAACAGAGCCATACAAATTTTGGAGCTGAAGGGTGCAATGCCTAAACTAAAACAAAAAGGAAATAGAGAGCTTCCAAGATGATGGATCAAGTACAAGAAAGAATAAGAGAAGTCAAAGACCAATCATTTAAAATTATCTAGTCAGAGTACAAAAAAAAAAAAAAACCACAAAGAAAAGAAATGAAGAAATATGTACAAGATTTATGGGACACCATCAAGGGAGCTAACTTTTTGCATTATTGGAGTCTCAGAGGAAAAGAGAAATAAAATAGAATAAATGCTTATTTAAGGCATAATTGCTAAAAACTTTCCAAATCTGTGAAGAGATATAGACATCTCGATATATGAAACTCAAAACTCTCCAATTGTATTTAACCCAAAGAAGACTTCTCCAAGACATTATGTCAAATTGTCAATAATCAAAGTTAAAGAGAGAATCTTGAAAGAAGCATATCACATTTAAAGGTACATCAAAAGGATATTAGCACTTCTATGCAGACATTTTCTAGGCCAGTACATAGTGGGATGATATATTCAATTTGCTGAAAGAAAAAAACTGCCAACCAATAACTCTTTACCCGTAAAGCTGTTTTTCAGATCTGAGAAAGAGATAGTCTTTATCAGACAAACAAAAGCTGAGGGAGTTTATCACCAATAGATCTGCCTTACAAGAAATGCTAGAGAATGTTCTTCAAGCTGAAATGAAAGGCCAATAATTAGTAAAATGAAAACATATCCAAGTATAAAATTCACTGGTAAGGTAAATATACAGTCAATTCAGAATATTCTAATACTGTAATGATGGTATATAAATAACTTTTAATGCTAATATAAAAGTTAAAAGACAAAATATTAAAAGTATATAATTTGTTAATGAATATACAATTTTTTTAAATGTAAATTTTGACACTGAGAATGTAAAAAGTAGGGAGAATAATATGTAGAGTTTTTGTATGTAATCTATTTTAATAATCTAAGTTATTATTAGCTTCAAATAGACTGTTGAAACCATGTTTTATGTAAGCTTATGGTAACCACAAACCAAAAACCTATACTAGATACACAAAACAGAAAGATATTAAAGCATACCACTACAGAAAATCAGCAAATCACAAAGAAAGACAGGAAGAAAGG
Source organism: Homo sapiens (assembly GCF_000001405.40). Classification (NCBI taxonomy): domain Eukaryota; kingdom Metazoa; phylum Chordata; class Mammalia; order Primates; family Hominidae; genus Homo; species Homo sapiens. Next base: position 3,668,448 of record NT_167246.2, on the reverse strand, counting down.
AAGAAAGGATATACAAAACAGCCAAAAAACAACCAAGAAAATAACTATATTAAGTCCTTAACTATCAATAATTACTTGAACGTAAATGGATTAAATTTTCTAATGAAAAGACACAGAGTAGCTAAATGTATTTAAAAACAAGTTGCAACTATCTATGCTGCCTGTAGCAGACACACTCCAGCTCTAAGGATACATATAGAATGAAAGTAAAGGGATGAAAAGAAGATGCTCCATGCAAATGGAAAACAAAAGACGGTAGGGGTGGCTATACTTACATCAGGCAAAATAGACTTTTAGTCAAAAATTATAACAAGAGACAAAGGAGCTCACTATATAATTATAAAGGGCTAATTCATCAAGAGGATATAAAAATTATAAGTACATATGCACATAATGTCAGAGCACCTAAATATATAATATTTACATAACTGAAGGGAGAAACAGCAATATAATAACCGTAGCGGACTTCAGTAACCCATTATTGACAATGAATAGAGCATCCACACAGAAAATTAACATGGGAGAAAATAAAGTTACCAAGAATACCCAATAGGGAAAGGATAAATGTTATTGGGAAAACCGGATATCCATATGCAAAAACAAAAAGAAATTGGCCCTTATCATATACCATACACAAAGATCAATTCAAAATGGATTGAAGACTTTAATGTAAGACTTGCCACTATAAAACTCCTATAATAAAACAGTGAAAAGTTCCATGACATTGGTCTTTGCAAGTTGTTTTAGATGACACCAAAAACACAGTAACAAAAGCAAAAATAAGTGGTATCTCGTCAAACAAAATTGTTTCTGGACAACAAAGGAAACAATCAACAAAATGAAAGCCAACTCACAGAATAGGAGAAAATATTCGCAAACCATATATCTGATAAGTGGTTAATATTTGTCTTAATCTGTTTCTGTTGCTTATAACAGAATATCTGAAACTGGGTAATTTATAAAGAAAAGAAATGTATTATTATTTCTTACAGTTATGGAGGATGGAAAGTCCAAGGCTGAGGGGGCGCATGTGGCGCAAGAGAGCCTTCTTGCTACTGGGGACTCTCTGCAGATTCCTGAAGTGGTACAGGGCATAACATGGCAAGGTGGCTAACATGCTGTGCTTAGGTCGTTCCTCTTCTTTTTTTTTTTTTTTTTGAGACGGAGTCTGGCTCTGTTGCCCAGGCTGGAGTGCAGTGGCGCGATCTCGGCTCACTGCAGGCTCTGCCTCCCGGGTTCACGCCATTCTCCTGCCTCAGCCTCCCGAGTTGCTGGGACTACAGGCGCCTGCCACTACGCCCGGCTAATTTTTGTATTTTTAGTAGAGACAGGGTTTCACCGTGTTAGCCAGGATGGTCTTGATCTCCTGACCTCGTGATCCGCCCACCTCGGCCTCCCAAAGTGCTGGGATTACAGGCTTGAGCCACCGCGCCCGGCCCGTTCCTCTTCTTATGAAGCCACCAGTTCCACTTGCCTGACAACTCATTAATCCATTAGTGGATTAATCCATTTATGTGGGTAGAACCCTCATGATATAATCACCTCTTTAAGGCCTCACTTCTCAATGCTGTCACATTGAGGATTAAGTTTCAACATGAGTTTCGGAGAGGACATTAAAACCACAGCAATATCCAAAATATATAAGGAACTCATACAACTCAAAAGCAAGATACAACTCAAAATACAGCTGAAACAAATAAGCTGATTTTAAAATGGACTAAGGTTCATATCTGTTCATGAACCTTAGTCCATGAACAGACAATTCTTAAAAGAAGACATTTACGCAGCCAACAGACATATGAAAAAATACTCATCATCACTGGCCATCAGAGAAATGCAAATCAAAACCACAGTGAGATACCATCTCACACCAGTTAGAATGGCAATCATTAAAAAGTCAGGAAACAGGTGCTGGAGAGGATATGGAGAAATAGGAATGTTTTTACAATGTTGGTGGGAGTGTAAACTAGTTCAACCATTGTGGAAGACAGTGTGGTGATTCCTCAAGGATCTAGAACTAGAAATACCATTTGACCCAGCCATCTCATTATTGGGTATATACCCAAAGGATTATAAATCATGCTACTATAAAGACACATGCACACGTGTGTTTATTGTGGCACTATTCACAATAGCAAAGACTTGGAACCAACCCAAAAGTCCATCAATGATACACCAGATTAAGAATATGTGGCACATATACACCATGGAATACTATGCAGCAATAAAAAATGATGAGTTCATGTCCTTTGTAGGGACATGGATGAAGCTGGAAACCATCATTCTCAGCAAACTATTGCAAGGACAGAAAACCAAACACTGCATGTTCTCACTCATAGGTGGGAACTGAACAATGAGAACACTTGGACACAGGGTGGGGAACATCACACACTGGGGCCTGTTGCGGGGTGGGGGAAGCAGGGAGGGATAGCATTAGGAGAAATACCTAATGTAAATGACGAGTTAATGGGTGCAGCACACCAACATGGCACATGTATATATATGTAACAAACCTGCACATTGTGCACATGTACCCTAGAACTTAAAGTATAATAAAAAAAAAGAGAGAGAGAAAAAAACAAAATAAAATAAAATAAAATGGACTAAGGACCTAAATAGACATTTTTTCAGAGAAGACTTACAGCCAACTAATAAATAAAGGTGCACAATATCACTAATCATCAAGGAAATGCACCTCACACCAGATAGGATGCATTCAAAATGTCAAGGGATAACAAGTGTTGGCAAGGATATGGAGAAAAGGGAACCCTTGTACACTGTTGTTAGGAATGTAAAGTAATACAGCCATTATGGAAAACAGTATTGTGGTTCCTCCAATAAATTAAAAATAGAACTACCATATGATTCAGGAATGCTACTTCTGGGCATATATTCAAAGGAAATAAAAATCATTATCCTGAAGAGATATTTGCACTCCCATATTCATTGCAGCATTATTTACAATACCCGGGATAGAGGAATAAACTAGGTGTCCATCAGTGGATGAATGGATAAAGAAAATGTGATACACAGACACACACACATACACACACACACACACAATGAAATATTATACAGCCTTAGGAAAAGAAAGAAATCTTGCCATTTGTGACAACATGGATGAACCTGGAAGACCTTAGGCTAAGTATAATTAGCCACGCATAGAAAGACAAATACTACATGATCTCATGTATATATGGAACCTTAAAAAGTTGAACTCAGCAGAAAGGTGATTACCAGAAGTTAGGGGGTGGAAGAAATGGGCAGAAGTTGGCCAAAGGGTACAAACTTGCAGTTTTATGACAAATACGTTATGTAGACCCAATGTACAGCATGGTGACTATAATGTATTATACACTTGAAATTTACTAAGAGTGTAGGTTTTACATATTCTCATCACAAAATGAAAAATAGAAGTAAGTATTTGAAGTGGTAGATATGTTAATTAGCTTGATTGTGGCAATCATTTCACAATGTATACATATATTAGAATCGCACACTGTAATACCTTAAATATATATAATTTTTATAATTATACCTCAATAAAGCTAAAGAAAAGAAAAAAATAATCTGAGTAGTCAAGAGAAATTCAACATCCCAGATCTCACAAATGCTAACTACTCATTGAATTAATTCAAGATGGATTAAAGACTTAAATGTTAGACCTGAAACCATAAAAACCCTAGAAGAAAACCTAGGCAATACCATTCAGGACATAGGCATGGGCAAGGACTTCATGTCTAAAACACCAAAAGCAATGGCAACAAAAGCCAAAATGGACAAATGGGATCTAATTAAACTAAAGAGCTTCTGCACAGCAAAAGAAACTACCATCAGAGTGAACAGGCAAACTACAGAATGGGAGAACATTTTTGCAATCTACTCATCTGACAAAGGGCTAATATCCAGAATCTACAAAGAACTCAAACAAATTCACAAGAAAAAAACAAACAACCCCATCAACAAGTGGGTGAAGGATATGAACAGAGACTTCTAAAAAGAAGACATTTATGCAGCCAAAAGACACATGAAAAAATGCTCATCATCACTGGCCATCAGAGAAATGCAAATCAAAACCACAATGAGATACCATCTCACACCAGTTAGAATGGCGATCATTAAAAAGTCAGGAAACAACAGGTGCTAGAGAGGATGTGGAGAAACAGGAACACTTTTACACTGTTGGTGGGGCTGTAAACTAGTTCAACCATTGTGGAAGTCAGTGTGGCTATTCCTCAGGGATCTAGAACTAGAAATACTATTTGACCCAGCCATCCCATTACTGGGTATATACCCAAAGAAGAATTGAACAATGAGAACACATGGACACAGGAAGGGGAACATCACACTCTGGGGACTGCTGTGGGGTGGGGGGAGGGGGGAGGGATAGCATTGGGAGATATACCTAATGCTAGATGACGAGTTAGTGGGTGCAGCGCACCAGCATGGCACATGTATACATATGTAACTAACCTGCACATTGTGCACATGTACCCTAAAACTTAAAGTATAATAATAATAATAATAATAATAAAACAAATCATGCTGCTATAAAGACACATGCACACGTATGTTTATTGCGGCACTATTCACAACAGCCAAGACTTGGAACCAACCCAAAAGTCCATCAATGATACACCGGATTAAGAAAATGTGGCACATATACACCATGGAATACTATGCAGCAATAAAAAAGGATGAGTTCGTGTCCTTTGTAGGAACATGGATGAAGCTGGAAACCATCATTCTCGGCAAACTATCGCAAGGACAAAAAATCAAACACCTCATGTTCTCACTCACAGGTGGGAATTGAACAATGAGAACACTTGGACACAGGAAGGGGAACATCACACACCGGGGCCTGTTGTGGGGTGAGGGGAGCGGGGAGGGATAGCATTAGGAGATATACCTAATGTAAATGACGAGTTAATGGGTGCAGCATACCAACATGGCACATGTATACATATGTAACAAAACTGCACGTTGTGCACATATACCCTAGAACTTAAAGTATAATAATAATAAAAAGAAATCAAGGAATAAATTCTTAAAAGTTCATCACATTAAGATATGACTTGTGCAATAAAATTCCAAGGGTGCAAAGAAATACTGCTGTTGTCTACTGTTGTCATTTACATCTCATATTTCTTGGGAAAAAACCTCTCCAGTAACAGTCCACCAGAATACCAGATTTAACCAGTGCAAGAAGCTACCTCAGTGTTAGGAATTTAAGGGTACACGGATAAGCAAAATAAAACTACACACTATAAGAAGGGAGGAGAATTAACATGTACTCAGCACCTACTATATGTTAGTCATTCTGGTGAGCATTTTTTCATTTTATTAATATTGAATATCTACAAACAACCCTGTCAACCACACAAAGGTGAGCTACCCAAAAATCCCTCCCTGGCTGTCCAAGGCCTCCAGTAGCCTACAGGTTGCTTTGGTGCATATTAGGAAAAGGTGTTCCTTCCTGCAAGTGAATGCAGCCCCACCCCAGAGACACTGCTGGGGATTTCAGTTCCCTTAACCCTTTGTGCAGTGAGCCAACCTATATAATCATAGCACACGTGTCCTGAAGATATATGAAAGGCATCTCACTCTTAGCATGTCTAAAACCCAAGCCCTAATCCCTTCTACACACTGGTGCTAGCACCTGTATTCACCTAATTGCTCAGACTATCTACCTTGGAATGATATTTAACTCCTTTCCTACTCTCTTCATCCAATCCACCATCAAATCCCATCTCTGATGCTTTCAAATTATACTCCAAATCAAACCACCTTCCACCACCATGACAATCCTTGCCCAAACACCAATATCTCTTGCCTCCTACCTTGTTTCCTTGATACTCCTCTTGCCTTCTTATAGTCTATTCACCTCACCACAGCGAGGGAGATCCTTAATAAGTACCTCTTAAATGAATAAAGTAATTTACTATTGTTATCCCTAATTTACAGAAGAGAAACTTATGCTTAAAAAACATTAATGACTTGCCCAAGGCCACAGGACTTGGAAGTGACAACCTGGATAGGAATTTAGAATTGTCTAATTCCAAATTTTAGGCAGTCAGAGAGTTTATTCTTATGTAATTTAGTAATATCTTAATTTTTAATTTCCTGTTTACAGATCTTTAGTGTACAAGCCTACAATCTTAGTATCTTTCTAATCTGGGCTCCCTTGCATTCTTAAGGAAAAACTTGAATCAGTAAACATTTTATTGTTGTTTCAATAAGTCATACTTTAAAATTCATAAACCCAAATGACTATTTCTCTGACTTTCCAGTCCCCCTAACATAACCTATAAATCTCAGTCATCCTAAGTTTCTAGGTTCCCACGCCCTGCTAGTCTTCCCTCCATTATTTCTAGACATAGGAATATAAATGTACTGGTCAACTTGAGACTATAGAAATCTTCTGGCAGGAAGATATTAATATTAGGTAAGGTCATTATGTTAGTTTAGGTACATGAAATTTAGTACTCAAAGTTTAGTTTAACTTAAATATATCACATATAAAAGCTGCCATGGTTATTCCAAAATTTTTTTGAAATTAAATTTATTCTTAGTATTTTTCTAGCAAATGTTAAGTGCAGCGCATGAAAGTTTTTATAACAAATTTCAAGTGCAGCATATTAAAATGTTCGGCATTTCAGTGGTATTTTCCATTTTTGTGGCAACTCTATTAACATCTTGATATATTTTCCCTTTTTTTTTTCATTGAGACAGAGTCTTGCTCTGTGGGCCAGGCTGGAGTGCAGTGGCACTATCTCGGCTTACTGCAATCTCCGTCTCCCGGGCACAGGCAATTCTCCTGCCTCAGCCTCCTGAGTAGCTGGGATTACAGGCGTGTACCACCAGGCCCAGAGAATTTTTGTATTTTCACTAGAGACAGGGTTTCACCATGTTGGCCAGGCTGGTCTCGAACTCCTGACCTCAGGTAACACACCCACTTCGGCCTCCCAAAGTGCTGGGACTACAGGCTTGAGACACCGTTTTTAAAATCCCCATAGAACCATGAGAAACAAGAAACATTATTATAAAACAGAGAATGTGTTTTGTACTTAATTCCCATCACAATGACTGCCAAGTATGGAAGGAGAGCACTCATTTTCAGAAAAGAAGCTGAAAAAAAAATACTATTGTCTTCACATTTCTGAGTAGATCTTTAACTATACTTTAGTGAAATAGCAAATGATATTATGATTCAACATAATTTAAATCAACTACAAAGTATCAATATTACTATTTACTTTTACACTTTTATGAAAACAACAGTGATAACATGACTAGTTTTCCATGTAATTTGCTTTGTCTCCAGATCTTTTAGAAAGTCTGTTTCCATGACATCACTAAGAAACAAGTTTTAGATCATAGGATGCACATTCAATCGCAATCAATATACACATTTGCATTCATTATAATTTGCCATATTGTCACTGAACTTGAATTCTCAGTCAGCTGAGTAAATATCTTGCCATTCCTTCTTTTATTTGACCTCAACTTACCTTATAACTATACATTCTTCTGTTTCAATGTTTGCATGTATAGTTTATTATTTCTTCTCACTACATGTATTTACCTTAATTAAACTCTGCCTGTTTTTTTAATGTCATTAAACTTATAAATTAAGCCATGAGGAGATTTTGTCTCCAGTTTCTTGCCTAACTGGATATTTGAGGGTGTTGATTGGGTAATCCTCTGTAGTGATACCAAAACTACAGAAATAGAATATCCAAATTGATTTTTCTTTCTTTTGTTTATGTTTTCAGAGAGATCCAAAAGAGATTACAGTAAGTATTATCTTGCTTCTTAACAAAAATTTGCTTCCTATTAGTAACATTTCCCTAGATTGTAAATGCTTTGGAGGAAAGAGAAATCCTGTCATATGTCAAGTCATATGAATACTAAGCAATAGATAAAGTTTTCTAGTGCTGGTTTAGAATGATCTGGCTGGGAGAAAAGGAAAACAATAGAAGTGATGAGCAAGAGAAAAGGAAAGTAATAAAGATAAAAGGGAGAGAGAGAAGAAAATAGAGAGGGAAAAAAGGGAGGGAGGAATTAGGGCAGTAGGAATGGCATCTGCCTACTAAAAATTAAACCCATTTTTAGAGATGGAAAGCATATGCAGTAGCTGGTGGGAGTGGCTGTCAGTACCCATCACCAGATCAGTGATGACTCCCGGGGCCTAGACTTTAACTCCTGAGAAGGGGGTGACAGCAACTGAAGCTGATATGTAAAGATTAGGGATCCAAACTCTCATGATTCACCTCATGTTTTCTGTGTGTGTATTTTAGCACCATCAACCAACTCTCTAGGTAAGTGCTTTGTGGTTTTCTTTCAATTCTACTGTCATCTGGTTTGCAAGCCCTATTTTTTCTGTATTTTTTCTCTTTTAAGAAAGTTTTTAAAATTAAGTATAAAAATAATTAACACTTGTATATCACACCTTAGATGTGACAAATTGATAATATTCTTGTCATATTTCTCAAGTTATCATAGACATATTCCACTCCCTTCTTCCCAAAGGCTTATTAATATATTTTAAATATTTAAGTCTATTTACATATATTTATAGTCTCTACCTATCACTGAACAAAATATAGTATCTTTTTTTAATGTTTAATTTTACTAAAATGGCATCTGTCTGATAGTATCATTACGATTTGCATTTTTCTCTCAAAATGTAGTTTTGAAATCCAGGTTATACACTTTGTTGAATAATATTCCACCTTATGAATATACAATGTTTTTCTATTATTTCTACTACCGATGCATTCTCAATATTTCCAATTTCTGCTATCACAAATAATGCTGCAAAGACAGTCCTTAAGTAGATGGAAAAGAGTTTATCCGGGGTACATACCCTGAAGTAGGATTAGTGTTCACATTGTATATGAGCATTTATGTAATTTATGCATATTTTAAATTTTAGTAGCTATTAATTAAGCTCCTTGGTAGTTACATAGAGGCATACAAAAATAAATAAATATTTCCAATTTCTCTGCATTAGTAACAATCCCAGATTTTGTCATATTTTTCTATTATTGCCACTTGAATACGTATACAATTTTTAAAATCTGCATTCCCTGCTCACTCCTGAAATTGAGTATCTTCTCATAGGCTTACTAGCTAGTGAGGCTTCACCCTATATAAATTGCTTGTTCATTTACTTTACCCATTTATCTATTAGTTATTGATCTGTAGTAATTCTTTATTATTATGAAAGATCAACTTTTATATGTTATGTTAAATATCTGCAATTATCTCATCCAATTCTGTCTCTTAGCTTTAAATTTTTATGCTGTCTCTTGACTTTTAGAAGGCCTCTACTCACTCTCCCCCAACACCACACAATTTATTGTAATAAAATTTGTCAATCTCTTGTTTTCTTTTAGAGTTTCTGCTTTTTAGTTTCTTTGGCCTTATCTGGGTATCACAAAGATTTTATCTAATACTTTCTCTTAATAGTTTTGAAATTTCCCTTTCTACATATAGAACTTTAATCCAAATGGGGCTTTGTTAATTGTTTTTTGGTTTTGGTGAGTGATTTTAGTAATAATACAGGTGAGATCTAATTTTCCTTTCATCTGGAAAACCAACTAGAGGGATTTCGTCTCATCTTGTTCCAACTAGATTTATTGACTGGTGCATTCTTTCTCTGCTGATTTGTAATGCCATCTTCATCTTATATATTTCGTTTTTCCGTGGATTTTATTTTCTGTTCCAGTGATCTTTTGTCTTTTACTGAACCAATACTCCATTGCTTTCACTACTAAAACTTTATAACATTTATTACAAAAAATAGCACATTATCTTTGTTCTTTTTCAGAAATGTGTTGGCTATTCTTTGACCTTTTCTCTTACACAAGAATTTCATAATTTCTCAAAATCTATGAGTCATATTAGGATTTCATTGAAATTTCATTGAGCCTGTAGATTAATTTGTAAAATCAATTATTCCCATGCATTAACATGGTTGCCTACTATTCAAATTTTCTCATATACCCTTCAATAATGTAATATAATTTTCTTCAGAAAGGTCTTGCATGTCTTTTGCTGCATTAATTCTTATACACATACTTGTTTTTTGTTTCGGATGTGAATACTATCTCTCTACATGGATTTTACAAATAATTATTGTTGGAATATAAGTTATATGTTGTATATTTGAGAGTAGATTTTGTATCTAGCCACCCTGCTGTGCTCTTAGAGTTCTAATAATTTTCAGATTCTTTTGAATTCTATATGTAAAAAATCATGTCATCTGCAAAATCTGATAATCTTGAGTTTCCTTTTCCAATTCTTAAAACCATTTTCTTGTCATAGCTTGGGCTATGTATATCTATGGGTAAAATTCCTTCTCTTTACTTTTGCTTTATTTTTGTTCCTTTTTCTAGCTTGCTGTATGAAACTCTTAATCAATTTCCAGACTTTCTCATCTTCTTTTTTTATTTTATTTTTATATGGGACACCATGAATTTTCATGCCATCCTTACACACGGGCCACGCTAATCTTCTCTGTATCATTCCAATTTTAGTATATATGCTGCCAAAGTGGGCGCTCTTATTTTCTAATATAAGTATCTAAGTAACTTCTAAATGCTGCTGAAACTCATATCCTCATATCCACTCATATCCTCATGACTATTTTTTTACTTCAATTCTACACTCTGATATTAGCATTGTTCTAACACCTTTGTTTTAATTAGTATTTGCCTATTTTTCATCCTTTTATTTTGAACCTTAAAAGTTTGTTTTTGTCTTGTGTCTTTTTTAAATGGCATATTGCTTGACTTTGTTCATATTAACAATGTAAAATTTTCTGTTTCCTAATAGATGAATTTAGTTCATTTTATATTGTGAATTGTTATATGTTTATCTAAATGTTTCCAATTTATATTGTGTTTTCAACTTACAGTACTATGCTCTGTTCTTTCATTTTTAAATCTTCTTTTCTACCTTCTGCTGGTATATTAGAATTCCTTGTTTCTTTTGTTTTACTTAGTGTTTTTCTGGATTTTGTTTTATGTATCCTGATATTTGTAACATGTGTACTATTTAATTTTTCTTTAAAAATTAAAGATAATCGGTATCTTCTTCCAAGACTAGATAATAACTTTTATTTGACCATCTTCCCTCCAAACTACTCTTTCCAAATTCTCCATCTTGTTTGTGGTATTCTTTTTAAAGACAAAATAATTATTTATTTTCACAATTAATTATTACTTAGACTTACAACAATATTTCAGCATTGTTTTTGCTTAACATTATTTGCTACATCCTGTGTCTTTTCTCTTCTATTTCTTGCCCAAATACAATCCTTTACTGGTTCTTTAAACTCTACATGTATGTGAAAAATTTTCTAAGCCTTCATATGGCTGAAAATAGCTTTACTTCACCTTCAGCCTTAAATGAAAATTTAGCTAGGTATAGAATTGAACATTATTTTCCCTCTGTACTTTGAAGATTTATTCCATTTGCTTGTTGTTTATTATTTATTATTGTTGATAAGAATCTATCACTAGTTTGATGTTTGTTCCTAAGTAAATATATTTTCAAGATTCTCTTTATTTTTGTGCTCTGCATTTAATTATAATGTTTATAGGTGTGAGATTAACTTTTTATGAGTGTGAGGTTATCCTGAGCAGGATAAATGAAGTGAATCTCACACCCACAATGGAAAATCCTGAATGCTTCCATTTACTCTGAGCAGGATAAATGAAGTTAATCTCACACTCATAAACATTCAAGAGTTTCCATTCTGTGGACTCAATCTTTCTAATTACAGAAAAATTTAACTTTAATTGCTATGAATTTTGCCCATATTTGTATCTATATCTAACAACAAACTGTAGTCTCTACTTCTAAAATTACTATGTATGTAAAGATTTTCCTTCCATCTTTCAGATCTTGTGACTTCTCTTTTATATTTCTTATCTGCACTGATTAAGTTAGCCCCGGATCTTAAAATCTCAGTGGTTTTCCCTAATAGAATTTTATTTCTTACTTATGAGAAGTCCAAAACAGGAATTCCAGATTGGCGGATGGCCCTTCTCTCAGCAGTGTCTTAGGCACTCAAATTCATCTTAACTAATGACTCCACCATCTTCAAATAATGGCTCCTAAGTTCATCATGTTAGTCCACCTTAAGTGAACAGAAAGAAAAAAGCTTGAAGATCATGAGTGGATGACTTTACAAACAAGCCTGGATGACTTTCATATCACTTCTAACAACATTAGATTGGCTAGAACTCAAGCATATAGCCACACCTAACTACAAGGGAATTTTGGGGAAATAGTCAACCACGTTGTATTAGTTTTCTATAGCTGCTCTAACAAATTACCACAAACTTAATGGCTTAAAACAACACAAATTTATTATCTATCAGTTCCATAGGTTATAAATCTGTCATATATGTCTCCCTGGACAACAATCAGGTTGTCAGCAAGACTGCATTCTTTCTGGAGGTTCTAGGAACAAATCTGTTTCCTTGCTTTTTCAGCTTCTAGAGGCTGGCCACATTCCTTGGTTCATGGCTCCCTTCTTCTATCTTCAAAGTGAACAAAAATGAATCAAGTCCTCACATCACACCATTCTGCCCTTCTTCCACTGTAGTACCTCTTTCTCTTACTCTCTTTTATCTCCCTCTCCCACTCTTAAAAATCTTTGTGATTATATTAGGCCCACTCAGATATACCAAAATCATCATCCTATTTTAAGGTCAGCTGATTAGCAACTTTAACTTCATCTGCAATATTAATTCCCTTTTTCCATGTAACCTAACATATTAAACAGGAAGATAATCCCAGGTTCTTACAATGCATGAGGCCTATGGCCTTGATTTCTGCTGGTGATCAGGTGTTTAAGCCTCAGTCCCCCAATAAGGTATCACATGGGTGGTAAAACTTCTCATTCATTACCAAGAATATGGGTTCCTTCTTGATATATTTTTCTTGAATATATTACTTCTCTTTTTAGTTTTCAAGCTCAGCTCTACTTTATAAACTTTAAAAAATACCATGTTCAAAGTAATCACTTAAAGGAGAGGATGAAATATTCCCCTCAATAGCAAGCACCCTTTCAGTAAGCCCCGAGGTTCTAAATACTTTCACTACTTTGACTCTTTAGCTTCTAATATTATTCAAGAACTTCCTGATTTGGTCTCTTGCTATTCTTCATCTCCATAGGGCACAAGTGAATTTTGGAAAGTGGAAACCCCTGTTGAAGCAGTTAGGTGGTAATTGTTTGGTGTAACAAAAAATCTTTTCGAACAAAGGGAAAACAGAAAGAAAATTAAGGAGAGAGAGGAAGAGGTGGAGGAAAGGTAGAGAAGGAAAGAACAGAGCAGCAGAATCACCAATGAAAGAAGACTTATAGGGACAGAAAAATGTCCTCAGATTGAGAAACTAGCAATCTCCAAAAATATTTTTATTCTCTTACCAAAATTGAAAGACAGGTTGCATAGATCTTGTAGTCCCACCTTACCACAAAAGTATTGGAATCCATATGTAGATATCCAGCTGCTCACCACATTGCATTGCAATTGATACCAGGAAATAAGTTGTGACTCATTTCTATCCTCTTTTCCACAACCTTTCTGCAATATAGTGTCTATGGCATCTAAGTTCTCCCTGGGACAAACAGAACTCATTCTTCTTTTGATGTGTTTTATTTTAGCACTGTCTCGATCAAGTATTGGTAAGTTCCTTTACTTTTCTTCAATTCTGCTGACATTTAGCCCCATTTAATCAAGAGGATATCTTCCTAAACTTCCCAGACTTCTTCGCTGCAGCACAGCAGAAGCTTAAGCTTCACATTTCTCCAATTTCTTTGTTCTCCATAACCAGACACTTCAATAATCAGTCAAAAGTAAATGCAAGTTTCTAGTGGTTTATTATGATGACATGAAGAGAGCAATTTCCAAACCTGAAGTGTTGGAAAAACAGAGTAAATAAAGGATAAGAGCAAAAAGTTAGTAAGAAAAATAAGATGAGGATGAAGATAATATAGAATGAGGGATAAATGATATTAGCTGTGTCCTCAGAATTTTAAAGCTTTACATGGCTAGCACGAAAGGGCAGCCTTCCCTGAGGCATCCCCAAGTCAGGCTGGCAGCAATGGAAGAGATGGCTAATTCCCTATCCCCCTGAGCTGCAACTGACACTAAGGGTTTGGTGCTCCCAGGCGTTCCTGGTTCTGATACTCATTCCTGCCCTGTCCCCTGCAAAAAAAAAAAAAAAAAGAAAGAAATGGATAGTTTTTGAGCCAGACAACCACATGAATTTTTTGTTTATATTTACTTTTAGGAGAGCAAGGAGGGAAATTTCATATTTCCAAATTCTAAGTCTCTTTAGTGTGTCACAGAACTAAGGAACATTCCCTAACCCTGCTGAGATTTTGTCCCTCACCTCCTTTTCCTTCCCCATCATTGAGCATTTTGTCTAAAATTAATGAGAACTTCGAAGAATGAGAAGTCCACCGATTAAAGAATAAAGAGAGGATTAAAATGGTTTTAGCTGGCAATCATAGTTTCAGCAAAACAGTAATAAATTCATTAACTTAGGAATAGGAGGGAAGAAGAGAGAGGCTTGTGAAGAGATCAGGGAATGGGAGTAGGGGACAAGGAGAGGTTTGTAATTAAAGCAAGTCATCTTTCTTGACTATTTACAGATATTACACATGAGGAAAAAATGAAATTTAAAGATATTATTTAACTTGACCCAAGGCATATAGCTAGCAAAAGAGTAAAACTGAGGTTCTAAACACTGGCCTTTGGACTCCAAGTCCTGAGGTTGTCCAACTACCCCCAGGACATCATTAAATGTGTTTACTCTTCCAATCCAAAGTATTCTTTGGAAATAAAATGTTTGTTCCAAGGAATTTAGAAAATCATGCATATGTTAAAAATATATTACTTCAATTTTTAAAATGTAATTTGAAAATCTTAAAATGTAAATTAATATAAAATATCAGACTTAGTGTGCTAATCCAATACTGTGCCATAACCTTATCCCATGAATAAGGCTGTTTTGTTGTATATACAACTGTGAACAGGTGCCCTTAGAAAGCTATCAAGCTCAATATTTTATTACTTTTATAATTAAAACATGTTTTATCTAGTTTTACTTTGTTTGCATCTAACTTATGGAAAGGGTAAAATATTTGGGAGTTGAAACATGCTAAACAATAAACTCAAATCTTCAGTTTCTTCAGCAAAATCTGCAGAGGACCCATGTGAGGCAGGCTTGCCATAAAAACCCTCCAAAGGGGAAATCATTTAGAGCACTGCAGCTGCTATACCTAAGACAACATAAGTATTTCACAGACAGCATAGATTCTAGTGAGGTAAGACAGAAAATAAACACATAAGCAAACAAATACAATGATTTCCCTTTCTAGATAATTCCTACTATGATTACTAGACTATCATAGTAAATTCTACGGAGAAAACAAATTAAGATAATATGATAGAGCAAGACCAAGAAGTAAGGGCCTTTAGCTAGGAGATTAGAAGAAATTTCCCTGAGGAGATATCTGAACTGACTCTGAATGGCGAAAAGCTGGCAGCCACAGGAGGATCTTAGGGAAGAGTATCTCAGGCAGAAAGAACACCAAGTTCCTGAGAGGGGAAGAAGAGTAGCATGTATGAGAGATTGCAGGAAGGCCAGTTGTGAAAGATCGTGGAGGAGTTTGAAAGGTAGGGAGAGTCCAGATTACAAAAAGTCTTTCAGAATAAAATATGGAGAACAATTCTGAGCACCACAATAAGCCATTGTTTTCATCAGGGAAGGGATAAAGCCACATTTATGCTTTAAAAAGGCAACCCTGGCTTCTGGTAGAGAATGAAATGGGAGAGAATGACCATCATATTTATTTATGATGGCAAGAAGGAGAGAGGTACAGAGTAAAGTCTCATATGTGCTTCAAAGACAACAGGAGTTTCTACTGGAGAAGACTGTTCGGAAACAGCAATGGGGAGCAAAAATGACATTTACCTACATTCAGGCATGTATATGGGTATGGATTTTTTCTAAAACAAACATACAAAAAACCAGACATCACAGCCTCAACAACAGAGTGAGACCCTGTCTCTACAATGAATAAAAAATTAGCTGGCATGGTGGTGTGCACCTGTGGTCCCAGCTACTTGGAAGGCTGAGGTGGGAGGATCACTTGAGCCCAAGAGGTCAAGGCTACAGTGAATTGTGATTACGCCACTGCACTCCAGCCTGGGTGACAGAGTGAGACCCTGTCTCAAAAAAAAAAAAAAAAATCTAAGAGGGCTGTAAGAGACATGGTTTTTTAAAAATGTTATAATTTTTAATTGACAAAATTGTATATATTTATGGTATACAACATAATGTGTTGATATATGTATACATTGTAGAATGACTAAATCAAGCTGTTAACATATCCATTTCCTCACATACTTTTTGTGGTAAGAACACTTAAAATCTACTCTCTTAGCAAATGTCAAATATAACACATTATTAACTACGATCACCATGTTATACAATAGATCTCCTGAAAGTATTCCTCCCATCTAACTGCAATTTTGTATGCTTTGAGCAACATCTGAGATACAGTATTTTTTTAAAAAATTGAGATAGAATCTCACTCCGTTACCCAGGCTGGAGTGCAGGGTGCAACCTCGGCTCGCTGCAACTCCACCTCCCGGGTTCAAGCGATTCTTGTGCCTCAGCCACCCAAGCAGCTGGGATTACAGGCGTGCACCACAATACCCAGCTAATTTTTGTATTTTTAGTAGAGACAGGGTTTTGCCATCTTGCCCAGGCTGGTCTTGAACTCCTGGCCTCAAGTGATTTGCCCTCCCCGGCTTCCCAAATTGCTGGGGTTACAGGCATGAGACACCGCACCCAGGCTTGAGATACAGTATTTTAAAAGACAGGAATATTAAAGCAAGACGGTGAAGAAAACGTTTGGAGAAGTTAAAGATACAGGAAAATTTGCTGATATGAATTTCAGACAGCATGGTGTGTTTTAGGGAGTAAGGAGAGGTGGAAGGAACGTCCGATTAGGAATTATAAAAAGCATTATGATAATAAGCATCCTTAAGATGAGGAATTGTCTTTGGATGGTGAGTAAATTAAATGAGGATATGACGGCCGGGCGCGGTGGCTCACGCCTGTAATCCCAGCACTTTGGGAGGCCGAGGCGGGTGGATCATGAGGTCAGGAGATCGAGACCATCCTGGCTAACAAGGTGAAACCCCGTCTCTACTAAAAATACAAAAAAATTAGCCGAGCGCTGTGGCGGGCACCTGTAGTCCCAGCTACTCGGGAGGCTGAGGCAGGAGAATGGCGTGAACCCGGGAAGCGGAGCTTGCAGTGAGCCGAGATTGCGCCACTGCAGTCCGCAGTCCGGCCTGGGCGACAGAGCGAGACTCCGTCTCAAAAAAAAAAAAAAAAAAAAAATGAGGATATGACACATTTTGGGATTAATCTCAAAGGATGATGAGTAATTAGTTATGTAGAGTATTTAGCTGAAAGATGCATAGGGCCACAGGAAGCTATTCATCCCTGAAGCTCAAGATGACGTGTGCTCCTACAGAATGGATGAGGCCCTCTTGAGAGATAATTCTCATAGGCAATTCACTGGACTGTGATAACTCGAGAAAGGGCCTCTCAAACCAGGACCTCAAAGGACTTGATCCTATTATTTCCTTGAAAATCTTGAACTAGCGTAGTGCCCAAGATAGAGGAGACTATGGTCCATTACCCATACATGTATAAACAGATAAGGACTGCAATCTGAAATGATGATATAATAATATGTGTTGAGCATTATGCTCCAGGCTCTGTCCTAAACATTTTTTCTTCATAATAATCCTAGAAAGTAGATATTATAAATCCTATTTTTAAAATGAATAAACTTAGGCATAAAAAAAAAAAAACAGGCAGAGTAACACAGCTAGTAAGTAGAGGAACCAGAATTCAAACCCAAGCATTCTAGTAGTTGATGGCCCATTGTACTTAATGAGACCTAATCAAGGGTCCCCTTTCTAAAATGATTTCGGTGAGAATTATATACTTTATAAACCAATTAACTCAGACTGATGTGGATTTTTATTATTATTCCTCAGTGCCAATTCCAGGAACCATATTTCAGTTTATTTTCTATTTCTCAATTTAGGAAAGAGAAATGAGAGCAAACAGATAATAAGAAGGGAGCACATAGGGAAACTAAGGAAAGTTTAATCAAGACTAAGGTCCTCCACCTCCTAAAAGCAAGTAGAGGAAAAAGAAAAAAAAAAAAAAAGACTAAGGGCCAAGCATGGTGGCTTACACCTGTAATCCCAGCACTTTGGGAGGCCGAAGTAGGAGGATCCTGGAGGCCAGGAACTCAAGACCAGCCTGGACAACATAGTGAGGCTCTGTCTCTACAGAACAATTAAAAGAATTAGTAGGGCATGGTGGCATGCCTGTAGTCCTAGCTACATGGGAGGCTGAGTTGGGAGGATCACTTGAGCCCAGTAGTGAGAGGTTATAGTGAGCTATGCAACCACTGAACTTCAACCTGGGCAACAGAGTGAAACCCTGTCCCCCCCACCCCAGCCCCAAAAAAAAAACCTAAGGTCTTCCAAGTTTCCTTAACAGTTTCAGTCTTTACAAAGGCTGAGAAGAAAAGGAAAAGGGAATCACCTTCTCTGCTCATCATCAGTCCTACATGTCATTCTGGGCCTCGGCCACACCACCAAAATATAAGATGCCTAAACAATCCATGAAAAAATCACACTACAGCTGGCATAGAGGATTTGATGCTCCCTGGTGAGGGTAGTGTGAGGGATTTTTTTTCTGATCTTCTTTTCAAAGGGGGATTAACGCTGATGCTTTTAAGCAATTGGCGTGCACTTAGAGATGTGGGTATCTAGCACAATTTACAAGGGAATTGAGCAAGTTCTTGGTTGTTTCAGTACCATAAACGCTTGTTTGTCTAGGGACCTTGTCCTCCTTATTTACCTCTTTCTAGGCAGGCCCTATTTCTAGAAAGTCAGCCTTTTTGCTTCTCCTACCAAAACTTACCCTAAGGCTAAAAGGCCCAAGAACACAGGGCTTTAGTTTGTGAATTTAGCCTCATTGAATCATAAAAGTTGAGCAGAAGAAAAATTATTAAATCCTGTCATTGATCGACTGTTGTGGGGTGGAGGGTGGGGGGTGGGGGGAGGGGGGAGGGATAGCATTAGGAAATATACCTAATGCTAAATGACGAGTTAATGGATGCAGCACACCAGCATGGCACATGTATACATATGTAACTAACCTGCACATTGTGCACATGTACCCTAAAACTTAAAGTACAATAATAATAAAATAAAATAAATAAATAAATTAAATTAAATAAATGCAGTTCCAAAAGATGGTGAGAATTATCAAACTTTGCATAGTCATTTAACAGTCAATGTAAGACAAATAAGACTAATGCCCAGACTTTCTCCACTGAATATAGTGAGGGTTCATTCTATGGTAGCTTGTACAAATTACTATCAAAGTTAATATCATTAAACCTTCTACAAGTCTTGCCCTAGAATTTAGGTTATTTTACAAGAGAAACATTTTAGAGCTGAACAAAAAGAACAGAAACAAAATGTTGGAGAGGGAAGATGGTCAGTACGTTAAAGAAAAAAATGTTTAAGGAATATTCAGAAAGAAGAGAAAATTGTAAAGAATATGAAGGAAAACGTGCTGAACTTAAAGTCAAGCAAACTGGAAGCTAAAACTGCCTTTAATTTTTTGCATACTCAGGCACAGCCCTTCCCTTTCTCAATCTCGGTTTTCTTTTCTTATAAAACTAGAACCTTTGTAACATTGCCTTTCTTTGGTTCTTGAGGCTATCACATTAGGGAAAGAAGACTCTCCAAACTGAAAAGATGAAAGAAAGAGGGAGGGAGAAACGGAAAAGACAGGAGAAAGGTGGTGAATGAAATCAGAATATTGGAAATATAGTAAAGCTGAATATTCCCCTGAAACTTTCACTCCTGCATAGTGTCTAAGGGGGAAAAGACATGGGATCACTTGCAAGTGTGGCCACTTTATGAGCCTACCTACAGGGGAATGGAAAGTCTAATAACCTGAGGGAGGACACTATTTCTGGGAAGACTTTTGGGAAATTGATGGATTATTGAAACTTTAGACTGACTTGAATAATTGTTATTGTTCTTTAGCTTTACCTCAAGGATCCATGAGTAAGTTTATCTTCTTGTTTCAAACTCTGGTGTTGTTGGGCTCCTATGCTAGGCAGAGGACTTCTCCCTGTCTTAACTATTTCCTGTTTCCTGCTATGTCAGGGTGAAAGGGCTTAAGACTCATAATTCTCCACCTTGTCCTTCATTAGCCATCTTAACTGGATCATGCCCACCTTTCTCACATTTCCCCCTCTCTAAGACAATGAGACCTCCCACCTTGCTTAAGCAAATTATTTTATTCTTGCCTTTGACCACATCCTCTCACCCCCTTATTTCTTCAGAAGTCATTTCTTCTCTCTTCTACATCTTTAAATATTTTCCTTCCTTTAACTGCTTCTCCTTAAGGTATAGAACAGGTTTGATTTTCTTCCATCTTAAACAGATCCTCCCTTGACTATGTCCCTCTCTAATCACAGCCTACCTTCAAGGGAGGAAATTATGCTGTACACTCTGACTGTAGGCTTAGGAAAAAGTTATTGCTCACTTCGTATCTGAACTATACACTATTTCTCCATGAATTGAGAATAATATAATAAGACCTACTAAAAAATCACTTTTAAAATAAATTTGCTTGTTAATTATTTTCAATTTACAGAGGAGTATTGCCTAGCAGTTAAGTATGCAGACTCTAGAGCCAGGCTAACTGGAGTTGTATCCCAGCTCCCTACTTACTATTTATTTGAACATAGGCAAGTTATTTAATCTCTCATTAAAATTTCAAGTCCGTTACATAACTAATTTCAACAACCAGTTGAAAATTAATCAAATAAAAGAACAGAGAAGAGGCTGGGCACCATGGCTCATGCCCGTAATCATGACACTTTAGGAGGCTGAGGCAGGTGGATCACCTGAGGTCAGGAGTTCGAGACCAGCCTGCTGAAACCCCGTCTCTACCAAAAATACAAAATTAGCTGGGCGTGGTGGTATGCTCCTGTAATTCCAGCTACTCGGGAGGCTGAGGCAGGAGAATTGCTTGAACCTGGGAGAGGAGGTTGCAGTGAGCCAGGATCGCAACACTGCCATCCAACCTGGGTGACAGAGTGAGACTCCATCTCAAAAAAAAAAAAAGAACAGAGAAGTGAGGGAAGCTGGAAAAAATGAATGGAGAAGGGAGGAAAACCAAAGAGGTAAAGTTTAAATAAACCTTCTGGAACTGATTTCAATTGATTGTCAAAAAAAAAAAAAAAGAACACATTTTCTAAATGAAGGGAAGACTGTGACAGGAATGAGGAGGAGGGAAGTGAGGAAATCGGCAAAAAATCCAAAACAGATAATCCTGACTGGACAGGGTTTTTTTTCTGATCTATGTGCTTTTCCTACAAAAGTTTTCATACTGACTATTACATTTGTGGTTGCATATTAGGGTCACATTTCCTACTAGCAAAGTTGTTTCTTGTTCAAAGATGGAATTAAATATATCATATTTCATTATTTTTTCTAAAAGGTATCAAAACTTCCAGATGCTTCACAATCTGAACAAGTTTATTACTCACAGGTTTTAATTAAATGTGATCCAACCAATACCTATCCTTAAAGTAACGAAAAGGAAGGGATTCACTTGCCCTATCCCAACTCAGGCCACAACCATATGATACTGATTTCAAAGTGCACTGTTGTTGAAGTATAGATGGTGCTCACTTAAATCTCTTCTCATCTGAAAACAGAGCTCCCAAATTAGCCACCACTAGCCCGGTGCCACCTATAGATGTGTTTTGTTTGGTCAGGATGGTATTACTTTAAATTTTGAATTTGAATGCCTCTGGGTAGGGCATGGACTTTTCACCATCTCTATCCCTTATAACTAGCAGATTCACAATCATGAGACCTGCTGGGCCCCTTAATGCAACTGAGTTTGTGATCGATCCCCACAGAGATAATCAGGAATTCTGTCTGGTATGGAAAATGTGGTACTCTCTAAAAGAACTAACTCTGATGCTCCCATTAGGAAGAATATCCACAGAGACAATGTCCTTAATCCAAAACACACAATATTCAGTATTTTGGCAGGATATGTACATCGTAAGTTTTTTTTATCTTCTTCTTTACTCTGTAAGGCAACAAGTAAATACCTTCCACTGCCCTGCTTATTTGTCTTCAGCTGGGAAACGCCACAAAATACTCAGTTCAAGAATTTCCTTTCTTGGCCCAGTATGGAGGCTCACACCTGTAATCCCAGCACTTTGGGAGGCCGAGGTGAGGGGATCACTCAAGGCCAGGAGTTTGAGACCAGCCTGGCCAACATGGCGAAACCCCATCTCTACTAAAAATACAAAAATTAGCTGGGCGTGGTGGCACATGCCTGTAATCCCAGCTACTCAGGAGGCTGAGGCACAAGAATGACTTCAACCCAGGAGGTGAAGGTTGCAGTGAGCCGAGACTGTGCCACTGCACTCCAGTCTGGGTGACAGAGAGAGATTGTCTCAAAAAAAAAAAGAAAGAAAAATTCCTTTCTCCTCATTATTCCATATTACTTTAGGTCAGGAATGGAATATATATGACCTGTGTTACATTTCTGCTCATGCCTTTGCCTGTGGCAGAAATCAGTAATTTATCATGATTCTCTTTCCTGCTCAGCTCACATGTATCCTAAAATTCTTGTCATCTCCAGATAGTCATTAATAATTGATCAAAATTAAATATGCATAACTCAAGTATACTTGTCACTCCTAACATAGGTTAATATCTTAAATCTTAAAAAATTAAGTATATGAAAACTGTCCTTTTAAAATTATCTTTATTTGGTGGTAGGAGTGGCTTCACCTTCTCAAGAAACTGACAGTTCAGTGATTGACGGCCTAAAATACCACATAGAAAAACAGACATCTCTTCCCAAATGCTGAGGGTAGATCCTGTCATTTCTGGGGAAAGCTACTATTTCCCTCCCCAAAACAGCAAAGTAACAAATAAGCGAAAAATAATTATACACAAAGAAGGAAACAAATTATTCAATTATTTTAAGAAAAAAAATTGCAAAATTTTCAACATCTTAAAATATGATTGGTTATTTCTCAAGACAGAAGCAACAGAGATTAAAATGACATAATTAAGGTACTAAGGTACACAAGAAGATAGGGTTGTTTTAAAGATTAAAATAACAGAAATTAATAAATCAAAAATAAAAACAGAATTAAGTGCACATTATAATACTCTGCTGTCAGGACTCAGAACTTTCCAAAGGACAGTCAGAAATAAGAGGAAAAATTAAAGCAGAAAAAAGTAAAATATAAAGTAGCTTACTACTTTGCCGAAGTGTTTCATTCATTTATAGTTACTGAATATTTCTTTCCATAACATTTCTAATACAACTTTTCATCTTTCCCTTCTGTTATTACTCCTGATTTTTCACTGCAACTTCACAATATAGGTAAGACAGAGGACACAACTTCTGTTTTAGAGATGAGGAAATTAATGTTCAAAACATTTAGTGACTTGCCCAAAATCACAGAGCTAGAGAATAGCAAAAGTCGGACTCAGCTCTTTAACCTCAAGACTGTTTGTACCACACCTGAGGAGGGGGAGGAGGGAATGGGATTGTCTATCTCCATGCCTTCTGAAAGTCTAAATCTAAATAATGTTACACTTTTCAATTTTTATTATAGGTAGTATAAAATGTTTACAAACAACTGAAGAACCTCCTTGTAAGTTTCCCATATATACAACTCAGTCCTTTTTTTACTGACACCTAATAATTGTACAAATTTATGGGATACATGTGATATTTTGATACATGCATACCATGTGTAATGATTTTGATATTCTATAATGTGCCTGCTACCAGAGGAATGGGGAAGGTGGTGAGAAAGCACATAAAGATGGAGGAAAGGAGAAAAACTTGCAATTTTACTGTTCTCTCTTTTACCAGTGTGAGGAATTTGAGACTGATTTCAAGATCCTCTAAGTGACTGATTAATTTTTTCATTTAACAAAGTGGAAATTCTTATAATAAAAACTAGATTAATTAATGAAATTGTGAAAAAGATTCTGGGGCCAGGGAAAATTATCTATAACTTTAGAAGGATTTGACAGCAGGAAGATAATGAAAATGAAGAATAAGAAAAATAACTGCAGGGAGTATGATTTTAACAGTCTCCTAAGGAAAAAAGGAAAATGCCTACTTACCTTCTTGCTGCCTTTCCATGTAAATCAAATATGTAGTAAATGCTTGATCTGAAACTCCCTGAGATAAACACCCTTGAGTCATGCTCTCTTCAAACTCACCTTTTTTGTTTGTATTTTAGCCAGAACTGCAGGAGCCATGAGTAAGTTCTTTTTCTGCCCTTTAATTCTCATGTGCTTTGCTTTACTAAACTGTTAGAATATGTAAGACACTCATATTCCTAGATTTTTTTATTTCTTTCACAAATTGTCCATTCCTTTCCCCTTGTTTATTCCCTATTCTTATCTTAATAAACTGGGGTGCCTCTGTAAGAAAGTACTATTGCCTTTAACTTTTCCGAAATCTTGAGATTCAACAGCAAAGGGAAAAGAGTGAAGAACAAAAAATGGTCAAGTGAAAGGAAGAAAGATTCCCCTGTGAGAAAACCCAGTAACACTCAAAGAAAGAGGCTTGATGGTGGCCATTCTACTTAAGACCCGCCAAGAAAATTTCAGTGACATGCAGTGAGTCCCAGCTCACTGACCGAGGATCCCAGACTGTCACTGATGTTTGTGTGGGATGTATATCCCCTGTTATGAACAAAGAATAAATCTGAAATAAGTATCCAGATAGAATTTTAAATGAAACTGTAGCATATATCTCTGGAAGAAGCACTGGTTGGGAATAGAGAATAAGGAATAAGTGAGAGGAAGTGTGATTTAAAAAGGAAAAAAAATGGTAAATGGAAACAATGACTTTTATATGATCTGAGATTTTGCCAGCCCTTTATGGCCTTGATGCTTAAAGTGGGTCCAAGGGCCTGCATCAATGTCACCCTGGAGTTTTAGATATGCAGAGTCTCAGCCTATTGCCCACCCCGACCTACTAAATCAGACTCTGCATTTTAATAAGATTCCCAGGTGATTTGCGTGCATACCAAAGTTTAAGAACCATTGCTCTACAGGATTTTAATTCTCTGCCCTGAGAGAGGAAATAAAAAGATGAATGCACTTGGTCCAAATTTAACCAGCTTTTCCAGCCCTGCAGATTCCCCACACCAAGAGTGACCTTAAAGCCAAAGACAAGAAAGATGAAACTCATCAGGGTTTCATTCACTTCTTAACACATTTCTATCCTTCATTTTTGAGGATGTTCAGAGCTTGAGCCCCTGAGACAGGACTAACTCTGAAGGAAGGAGAAAAAAAGTGATTTGATAATTAAAGCTCATGGTATATCACATCCTGTGTCTACTCCTCTTGGAGTATTTACACAAATGGAACATTATTAAAATAATCAAGTCAAACTTTGAGAGCAAATACTGGGTAGGTATCATAAAAGCACATATTAGGCCAAGCACAGTGGCTCATACATGTAATCCCAGCACTTTGGGAGGCCAAGGTGAGAGAATCACTTATAGCCTATGAGGTGTAGAGAGGTGTGGTGGGGTGTGTGTGTGTGTATGTGTATGTGTGTGTGTGGTCATAAAGAAGAAGACTGTTACTGCATTATTAACAAGTATGTGGGTCTAGTGTCTCAATTCCTTTGCCCAACACTCATACCTATAAATGTCTTAAGTCAACCTAGCAGTTTCTATTCCCTTTTACATGGCAGGCCAAGTTACTCTGTTGAATAAGGGCCAAAATCACTACAGAGACAGCAATTCCCACTGTCTCCTTCAGATGAGGCTATAGATTCTAGCTAAGCAAGTTCAAATTAGCCAGCTGGAAGACAGGCAATGGCCTGTGTAATCTCCTGAGATACAAGCAGGACACCCGTGGGGAAAGGGGAAGGAACGCTGCCTGACCAAATGTGCGTCTCCACAGTTCCAGCTGGCAGATTCCACCAGTAACCGGGATCCTCCAAGATGAAGAAAGAAGCATTTATAAACTTAATTTGTTCCTCCACTGAAGTGGAAATTTTGCTCCTGGTGTCTACATTTGTGATGTTTTCCCAGGAAGAATTTAAATGCAAACAGTATTTTCTCATTAGTTCTATTTTGTTTTTTCCATATTTTAACTGGAACTATTAGACCTATAAGTGAGTTCCTTTTCTGTTTCCTCTAATGTTCTTTGGCCTTCTGTAGGATATAGGGTCCTCTCCACATCCTAACTGTTACCATTTCTACCCCTGCAGGATTTCTCACTCATACTTCTTAATTGTATTCAAATCTTCTGACACCTTCTGATGCCCAAGCAATCAGACACAATATCCTGAATTGCTACTGAGTTTAGGACAAGGGAAAGCCAAATAATTCATGTTTAAAACTGTAGTTTATTTTAATTATTTATATTTATTATTTTTAGTTACTTAAATTTCTCATTTAAGATGGATGCTGAATGATTTGATCTGGTAGGAGGGTTATGCAGCTTCCAGGCTAAGATCATCTGCAGTCCCACAGTAGTTGTTCTCCTCTGGTTGAATTGCTTCATAGTTTCTTTAGAAACAATACTGGTAAAATGAAAATTCTATTAATGTCAAACCACACTTTCCTCCTTTTTGTATTTCAGTGCAATTCACAGCCCCTATTCGTAAGTATCAAGTTTGTTTTTCCACTCTGGTCCCTTTGATATCTGACCTACAAGGTCTTGGGGCCTGATCTGCCCTGCATTTTTAAAAATAATTTCAACTTTTATTTTAGATTCCGGTGGTGCATATGCAGGTTTGCTAATGGGTATATTGTGTGATGCTGAGGTTTAGGGGTGACTTGCTTTTTTAACACTGTCTTTCTCAACTCCCCTGGCATTCCTATTACATAGTTTCCAAAGAGGCCATGCACGAAGTGTTAAGAAATCTCACAGGCTAACATTTAAAAATATAAACCAAAACAGCCCTCTTAGAAATAGTCATAATGATCCATCAGCAAGGGAAGGTACACCTTTCAAATAAACCATGTCTCTAAGGAAACTAGGGGCAAGGGGCAAGAAAATGTAAGAAGAAAAATAGAGGCATAACAGATTAATATGGAGTGAGTCTTTCCCAACCCTCTGAAGATTTTCAACCATCACTGAAAGCAGGAGGAGGCCTCCATTCCTGTAGGTCCCTTATATTGTGCAGGGAGCCTGCCTGAGGCTCGCCATACAAGCAACTCTTGATCTTCCCGTTGTTTCTATTTATGATACTCCCTAGAGCGAGTGTTGGGAAATGGAAATTTCCTTCACAGTGGTGAAGCATACTGATATCTTTTTCTTTCTCCCTCTTTCTCTCTCACAGCCGGAGCTACAGGACCTATCAGTAAGTTTGCTCTCTGATTCTCCACAGTGAGCATTTTACTTTCCTGCAGTATCTTAGGGATCGCTACCTGGTTTCCATGTTGGGATTTCAAGGGTTTGGAGTTCACATTTTCTTCAACCCTTATTTTTCTTCAACCTAGCATTTCAGTAAGTCATGATTAGCTGTGTGAATGTACACCTCACCAATAAAAACAAACTACAAAGTGGAGAATGAACCCTTGCAGATTTCCAATGGCTTCTCAGCATCACACAAGGGATTTTTAGATGAGGAGGCCCTTATATGTACTAGTTTGCCATAGCAAGAAAGTCACCATTTCTACTACTCAACTGCAGCTGAACTTGACAATAGTGATGCAGATTCCTACTAGGGAAAGTATACAAATTAAAGTATATAAATAAAAAGTATATATAAAATATATATATAGCTACTGATTTCTTTTCTCTTTTTTTTTTAGAGCTCTCTCAAAAAACCATTGGTAAGTCATCTGATTCTCAATTATAATGCCTTTTAGTACTTTACTTAGAACATCAATCTATTTTTATTTCAATTATTCATGCCCAAGGACTCAAGGATCAAGTCCTTCTGCCACCTCATAATCTCACCCAGTACTCCAGATTGGACTCATCCAGGTTCTGCAATAAAAATATATTAACTATGAAGCTGAAATGCAAAGTGAAAAATATCCTGCTAGAGATGGTCCTAAGCTGTTTCCACTTCAGCATATAATCTAGCTCTGTAGAGCCAATACTTAATAAAGACTTAGAACCCAGCACCTAAACTTCCTGCTGTGCTTTCCATGCAAATAATTTTTCCATTATTAGATTATCTTCACTTTGTAAAATAATGCAAATTTTAAGTTTCCTTTCTTTATTTTTTTTGAGATGGAGTCTCGCTCTGTCATCCGGGCTGGAGTGCAGTGGCATGATCTCCACTCACTGCAAGCTCCACCTCGTGGGTTCAAGCCGTTCTCCTGTCTTAGCCTACCGAGTAGCTGGGACTACAGGCACCCACCACCACGCCCGGCTAATTTTTTTGTATTTTTAGTAGAGATGGGGTTTCACTCTGTTAGCCAGAATGGTCTCGATCTCCTGACCTCGTGATCCGCCCGCCTCAGCCTCCCAAAGTGTTGGGATTACAGGCGTGAGCCACTGCGCCTGGCCTTCCTTTCCTTTCTAATTGCCCTGAAAAGTTCTCTCCAGAAGAGTTAGGCTCTATTTTCAGCAACTTTTAGCAACCTAGTCACATTCTTTGAGTGATCCCTATAATGTCTTACTACTGTTTTTTTAACCCTCGCGTACATTACTTTGTTGCATCTAAACAACATTCAAATGGCAATGAGTAAGGCAGTTATTATCCCCATATTTAGAGATGAGGAAACTG
The DNA here is from genome assembly GCF_000001405.40 of Homo sapiens. Lineage (NCBI taxonomy): Eukaryota > Metazoa > Chordata > Mammalia > Primates > Hominidae > Homo > Homo sapiens. The sequence goes on along the minus strand of NT_167246.2, from coordinate 3,639,531 downwards.
AGGGTCAGGAGTCATTTCTCAAAAAAATAAGAGGATGGGTTAGTTAATAAAATTAAGACTGAAGTTTTACTAACTCTTCATTCTTTCCACTATCATTTTTGGGTGTTATAACAGGTTATTAACAATGAATAAAATGAAGTTCTAATATTGAGATTAAAGGGTAGTAAAGGCCTAGAGGAGAAAAAGTGAGAGAATGAGTAACACAAATAATAACAGATACAGAATGAAGATGCAGTTTAGAGAGAGATAAATAGGAGAAAATTTAAAAAGAACAAAAGTAGGAAGAAAATTGGAAGCAGAAAGAGTAAGTGAATTGGCACATAAGAGAATAAAGAAGGGAAATGAGTATGTTGAGAAAGAGAATAAAAATAAAGGTACAAAAAGTCACAAATTGAAACCGGAAAGGAAGGAAGAAAATATAGAAAAACTGAAGAAACAAAATTTTGAAGTGATCACCTATCCAAGGATTTAGTAACTTATGTCAAGAGGGCAGGTATCATAAGACTTCTACTTCAGAATCAAAGATACATATTTGTAGATACAGGCAAAGCAACTATTAAGTTAGCATAATATCTAAATGTGTAACTGGTTTACTGCTCATAGCCAAGGGTATCCAGATCTGGAAAGCCATCTTCCAGGTGTTTTACACAGGAAAAAAAAAATTCAGAGTTAAAAGTTCGAGGATTATTGATCAAAATGTGGATATTTCTCATTCTGAGTGACACTGAAGTGAAGGATTATTAACTGCAATGCCCACTGGGTGAAGATATGGTCTTTTTAGATTCAACTAACCACGCAGACTTAGAAGATTACCATAGCTCTCATCTGGGAACAGTCTACTCAGTAGGACCTAAGGGAGGAAGCACAGTTTGCCAGCAAGGGCATTAACAGCTATCCCTCTGCTGTGGGAGTAGTACTCGCCATGATCTATGCAGGTGTCCACATAGCCACCTAGGACCTATTCTGTTTGGCCTTCTGTCAGTTGAGTTGGGAGCTGACCTAGCTTAGAAACCCCACAGATCCACCAGGAACTAAAATCTCCTATAAGAACCCCATACACATTACCTGCAGGGATCCCGTAAGGAATATGACCAAATACATGGGTCACTACACTCAGGGAAGCCCAAAGTTATGGCTTCTTAATACATATTTACAATTCTCCCAGTTCAGATGCAGTCTAACATCAAGGATCATTCTTATGTAAGCAGTGTTGCTAAATAACATAACAGGCTTTCGGCTGGGTGCAGTAATCCCAGCACTTTGGGAGGCTAAGACCAGGGGATCACAAGGTCAGAAGTTTGAGACCAGCCTGGCCAATATGGTGAAACCCCATCTCTACTTAAAAAAATACAAAAATTAGCTGGGTGTGGTGTCGTGCGCCTGCAGTCCCAGCTACTCAGGAGGCTAAGGCAGGAGAATCGCTTGAACCCAGGAGGCAGAGGTTGCAGTGAGCCGAGATCATGCCACTGCATTCCAGCCTGGGCGACAGAGTAAGACTCCGTCTAAAAAAAAAACAACAACAAAAAAAACATAACAGGCTTTCGATATTTATCAGGTCACCAGGCGATCAGAGCTAGAAAATCAACTGAAGGCCAAATTCTCATTAAAAACTGAAGGTTTTGGCCAGGCATGGGCTCACACCTGTAATTTCTGCACTTTGGGAGGCTAAGGCAGGAGGATCACTTGAGACCAGGAGTTCAAGATCAGCCTGAGCAACAACAGAGCAAGACCCCATCTCTACAAAATTTTTTTTAATTAGCCAGGAATAGTGGCATGCAGCTGTAGTCCTAGCTACTCAAGAGGCTGAGGTGGGAGGATCACTTGAGCCCAGGAGGTCGAGACTGTAGTGAGCTAGGATTGCACCACTGCATTCCAGCCTGGGTGACAGAGTGAGACCTTATCTCAAAAAACAAAACAAAACAAAACAAAAAAAAACAGAAGGTTTTGTTGACTCTTTGCTCACAGACTCTAAAGCTAATCAAAGCAGCAGTCACTGCTCTATCACTCTCCAATAAGCTGGAAGCTGTGAGAAGAAGAAACTAGATTCTTACCTCCTATTCTAATGTCTACCTCTGGAACATATTAGTTGATCAGAAATAAAGATTTTAGTGAAAGAACAGTCCCTTGAGAAAGAAATATCTTCTACTCTTACTGACAGGAAGTGTTTCACCTTTCCCTACCATCAGTAATGTTAATACCTAATAACAAAGTTTTGCCTTTCCCTAGTATCCCTTAGGTTGGCAAGGATCCTATAAAAACCTTCACCTTGGGCTGAAATATTGCAGTAAATGCTAAATATCCTTTTTCCTTTTTTCTATAGTTAATATAGTTGGATTAAGTCTCCCTAATGATCTCATAACTGATATCACTTCCTCTCCCCTGCTCTACCTCTCAAAGCCTCACTTCTAGGATAAAATTAGTGAAAAATACACTCTCCAAATAACTGTACTAATATGCCAATTTGAATTTCTTTTTAGTGCAAACTCCAGGACCTATTGGTAAGCTGCCTGTATATATCAACTTATCTCTACTGGCTTCTTACTATGTCTGAAGGAGACTGGCTCCAACTGTTTAAGTATCTGGGTTAAAGAAGCTGAAAATCATATTTCTTAGACTTTCATTTCCCCATATCGTAACTGTTAGGTTTTGGAGGGAAGGCGAGGGTTAAAGAAAAGACACAGAGAGAGTGGCGGCTGTACAGCAAATGTAGGCTTTACGTCCAGCATAAGACCTACAGAAGTGGGGAACCAGCCTAATGCCAGTGCCCACTGCTGCTTACAGGCTGGGGGTACTTATAGGTATAGGCGGGAGGGGTCTGGGTAGTATGGCTTGCTGGCCGGCAGGATATTGATAAGATGTTCCCATGATGAGGGGGTTCTGGCCCTTGTTCCTGCAGAATGTAGTGTTCCTTGCACTTTCTCCCAGCTGAATATGACAGGGATGTTTCTTTAGTTGGCCCTTTGTCCACCTTGTGTTCAGGTGGTTAGGCAGAATGTTTCTCACAGCCCGAACCCCCGTGGAATGTTTCACTTTTACCAAGGTCTTCAAATTGCTGGAGGCTTACAAAATGGTGCAGTTTGGATTAACACTAACCATCTCTCTGGGCAACCAATTATATTTTAGAAAATGGAAATTCCATTACCTTAAAATTCATAATAGATAGGCATTGTTCTAATAATGATTATAGTGGCTTGTCAGTAATCATTAGAATAACTTCCTAAGGCAAAGGTGTAATCGAATCTGGAAAAGAATATAAGAAATGAACAAGAACATAAAGATAGCTGAGAGTGAAACAGAGTGATCTGAGGAAAAACACTGGGGGAATATGGAAAGGAATACAATTAAGGATCTCATCTCCAACACCTACAATGAAAAGCAAGAATGAAGTGGTTATGCTAAAACAGGGTTAATAATCTCCTAAAAGAAGATCTGGTTCTTATGGAGAGGCTAGAGTACAGCAGCAGTGCAGTGAAAAATATTTAATCCTGAATACTGAGATTTAGTAATTCCTGAGAAAATCATTTTCACTGCTTGCCTTTGGAAAATATCACTAATAGAGGTGTTTTGGGGCCAGGCGCAGTGGTTCACACCTGTAATCCCAGCACTTTGGGAGGCCAAGGATCACCTGAGGTCAGGAGTTCGAGACCAGCCTGGCCAACATGGTGAAACCCCATCTCTACTAAAAATACAAAAAATAGCCAGGCATGGTGGCGGGCACCTGTAATCCCTGCTACTCAGGAGGCTGAGGCACGAGAATCCCTTGAACCCAGAAGGTGGAGGTTGCAGTGAGCCAAGATCACCCTACCACACTCCAGCCTGGGCGACAGAGTGAGAGACTCTGTCTCAAAAAATAGAAGTGTGTGTGTGTGTGTGTGTGTGTGTGTGTGTGTGTGTGTGTGTTTAATTTGTTTGTTTCTATTTTTTAGTACAATATCCTGGATCCAATGGTAAGTACCTTATCTATCCTTCTCCCTCCAGGTTCCTTGATCTTCTACAGTGTCTAGAGGGCCTGTTCCCTGTCTCAAATGCCCTAGATGTGTCTCACTGCCATAAGAGCAGTTATTTTACACATGTTTTTATGCTTCCTGATTTCAACCTACTGAGAATTCTCCAGGGCTATTTTTTTTAAAAGAAAAAGAGTAAGAAAATGTCCCCAGAAATAGTCATAATGTCTTCTATAACAATATACAAGAATTTTCTAAAGTAGCAGAGAGAGAATAATAAGGGCAGCTTTCCAGTTCTGAAGTGCTTTGTAGTTTCTAAAGGGCCTACTCAAAGATAATGGAGGAGACAATGAGGAGGAAATGAGAAAAGAAAATCAAATTTTAAGAATAAATACAAAAGGGAGAAAAGACAACAAAATTTAACAGGAAATACTATGCAGGGTCTAGTCTAACCTGAGTTCTACAGTTTTCTCTCCAAAGGCCTTTCTCTTTCCTCATGTCCTATCCGGCTCACTATCTCCAAACATCCCCAACACACGTGCGCGCGCGCACACACACGCACGACAAAGAGAGAGGAAAAGAAAGATAGGACAGAGCACCTCATGGAACAGGATATAACAGTAATTGGGCTGTAATTTACAGGAACTGGCAGAAGCATCACATATGGAAGAGAATAAAGTGAAAGTTCATATTGTGACGAGCTAGGGAGAAACTGGTGTTAAAATCTAGGGCATCGAACCAACCCCAGGACACGGGAAATTCTGAATCTAGAAATTAAGGGATAGCATTAGAAAGTTTAAGTCAAGCAGGAAGAATTATCAGAGGGCAAGTCACATATATTCAAACAAACATTCCTTCATCTAGCTGAGCTCCTACCATGTATCTGATACTAAGCTGAGCACTGAGGATAAAGTCATGAATAAGGGAGAGAAAGATATGGTTGGTCACTGACGCCATGGAGTTTACAGTCCTATAAGATAACTTGGGAAAACAAACCCAAAATGTGTAGAGGGCAGGCAGCATCCCACACAACCACACTACGACCATTAAAACTGGATATTTACTGCCCTGAATTCTGGTTCTAACTATCCTTTTTGTGAATGAATAAGAGCCATTTGTTATTGACTATTCCCCTGAATCAAGACTGCTTTTCTCAGTACTCACAGATTGCCAAGACTTATAGCCTTGGAAGTTCTCATAATTATTACAGGGAGGATAAACATAAGCCAGCTCACCTCAGAGGATCTCACTGGGGCTAAAGGAAGGGTCACATCTGGTCCACAGTTCCCTAATAGCCACCATGTGCCAGAGAATCTACATGGATACATGAATTCCCTTTCCCTTTTCTCCCCTGCTTGACTCCCTCTCCCTTATGTGTAAACAATTTAAAAATATGATAGTGTATAAATGAAAAATATATTGCTATTTTATTCCTTTCTAGCTTTCCCCTAAGTTATAAGCGATTTGGAGAAAGTGCAAAATGAACTGATTAAAATTTAAATGACTTTAACAAAAATTAGTGGCTCGCAACAGCCCTAGTAAAGAAGAGTAGGAAGAAAGCTTTTCAAGTCAATAAAAATTATTGGGTGGAATATTCACTATTTGGGTAATGGGTACACTAAAAGCCCAGACTTCACCACTATGCCATATATGACATAAGAAATCTGTACTTGTACCTCTTAAATATAATTAATTAATTAAAAGGTTAGTGAACAAGAGTGACTAAAGAAAATGAGGCCAGGGCCAGGCATGGTGGCTCATGCCTGTAATCTCAGCACTTTGGGAGCCCGAGGCAGGTGGATCACGAGGTCAGCAGTTCGAGACCAGCCTGACAAACATGGTGAAACCCCGTCTCTACTAAAAATACAAAAATTTGGCCAGGCAAGGTGGCTCATGCCTGTAATCCTAGCACTTTGGGAGGCCAAGGTGGGTGGATCACTTGAGGTCAGAAGTTCAAGACCAGCCTGGCCAACATGGTGAAACTTCGTCTCTACTAAAAATACAAAAAATTGGCCAGGCATGGTAGCGCATGCCTGTAGTCCCAGCTACTTGGGAGGCTGAGGCAGGAGAATCACTTGAACTTGGGAGGTGGAGATTGCAGTGAGCCGAGATCTCACCACTGCACTCCAGCCTGGGTGACAGAGTGAGACTCTGTCTAAAAAAAAAAAATACAAAAGTTAGCTGGGCGTGGTGGTGCACGCCTGTAATCTCAGCTACTCAGGAGGCAGAGGCAGGAGAATCGCTTGAACCCAGGAGGTGGAGGTTGCAGTGAGCCGAGATCGTGTCACTGCCCTTCAGCCTGGGCGACAGAGCGAGACTCTGTCTCAAAAACACACACAAAAAAAAATGAGGCCGGGCGCAGTGGCTCACGCCTATAATCCCAGCACTCTGGGAGGCCCCGTGGGCCAGATCACTTAAGGTCAGTAGTTCAAGACCAGCCTGGCCAACATGATGAAACCGCGCCTCTATTAAAAATACAAAAATTAGGCCCGGCACACTGGTGGCTCACGCCTGTAATCCAGCACTTTGGGAGGCCAAGGTGGGCAGATCACGAAGTCAGGAGATGGAGACCATCCTGGCTAACACAGTGAAACCCTGTCTCTACTAAAAATACAAAAAAAAAATAATAATAATAAGTCGGGCATGGTGGCAGGTGCCTGTAGTTCCAGGTACTTGGGAGGCTGAGGCAGGAGAATGGCATGAACCCAGGAGCCAGAGCTTGCAGTAAGCCGAGATCACGCCACCGCACTCCAGCCTGGGTGACAGAGCAAGACTCCGTCTCAAAAAAAAAAACCTACAAAAATGAGCCAGACTTCGTGGCAGGTACCTGTAATCGCTTGAACCTGGGAGGCAGAGGTTGCAGTGAGCTGAGGTCATGCCACTGCACTCCAGCCTGGGCAACAGAGCAAGACTCTGTCTCAAAAAGAAAAAAAAAAAGAAAAAGAAAATGAGACTGACAAAAGTACATATAAGTTTAAGACATTATGAACCTCTAGAAGTGTTTCAAGCATCTACTGTCCCTAAATGAAATGAGAAGGAAGAACAAAGCCTCACTTTACCACTTTATAGCCAATCTCCTGCCTCAGACCAGCAGAAACAGGTCTGAGGCTACAAAGCACAAAGTAAGGCACGTAAGGCCGGACATGCACTGAGCTGTCAGATTTTAGGGCCCCCCATATCCTCTCTGCAGTTACCCTCTTTAAGCCTATCAAGGGAGAACTGAATTCACTTGGTTCTACACATGTTGATTTCTCCATTTTGTGTTCCTTCCGTTTTTTACCACCAGATGAAACTTCAGAAATGACTGGTTAAGTTCCATGTCTATTGTATGATAGCTGCCTTTGGCTTCCTATAGGGCCTGGCATACTTTTCCTCTCTGCTCATTTCTGTCTTGTGTGTGTAGAAACTCACATTTCTTCATTTCTTTTGCTTATTCCTCTATTTAGCTGCTGCTCCACTCCTATAAGGAATGAATAAAGGAGAATACCAAACCCAAAATAGAGAGATAAAGTTCGGAAACTACCCAAAGTTTATAGTGACTTGTCAACAAGGGAAGGGAAGGATATTTGTATGAATAAATGAAAGCTTTCACAGGATGGCAGAAATAGGGAGAAGAAAGGTAAAGGCAGCACAGTTTAAAGAAATTACCAATCCCCTGCAGGATTTCCAGCAGTAACCACTCACTGCAAAAAGGGAAGAGATCAATCATCTCCCTTTCCTGCAGCCTCCTATACTAAGCAGAAGGCAGAATCCCCACAAGGCATGATGGCAGGTATATTCCCCAGCACAGCGCTCTATGCCCCTGACCTAAGAAGGATGTTTCTTCCATTGCCATTTCTGATATTTCCTTTCAGGAAAGTAGTACGAAAACTAGCTCCTCTTTCAGCAGGCTGTACACGTTGATTTATCTTTGTTTTTCAGCTACAGGATCCTCTTGTAAGTTTGACCATTTCCCTTCATGAGTGAAACTCAATTATCTCCAGCAGTGTCTAACATATCTTAAGCCAAAATGTATGCATCCACATTGTGATATGATAATGTTCCAATTTCCTTGGTCCCTTATTTTTCCATTACTCAGAACACAAATATATATTTTTTTCAGTGTCACGATCAGACTATTACATTTAGCAATAAACAGCATGGGTGCAAAAAAAAATCTACATTAAAACCCTTTGTCGGAATGCTTTACACTTTCCACAGAACAGAAACTAAAATAACCTGTTATACAATTAGTCACAAATACAGTCCTCGAGTTTTTTGCCCATACACATGAGTATTTGTCTAAAACATGTCTTCTTTGTACCAGCTAGGCCCTGCCACCACTGTGCTTGGCTGAGTTCACAAATCTGTTATAACCTGTAGCTTCCCTGTCACTTCTCTGGCTCTCCTCTCCTGCTAAGCTTTGTTTCCTAATTAAAATCTTCTGCCACTGCCATAGCTACTGCTGCTACTGGAACCACAATAGCCACTTTGGTTTCATGGTTTGGCAAAGTATTGGCCTCCACCACCATAGAGGCCACAGCTTCTGCCTCCAAAGTTTCCTCCCTTCATGGGTCCAAAATTTGAAGACTGATTGTTGTAATTGCCAAAATCATTGTAGCTTCCACCACCTCCAAAATTGCTCCCATCATTACCAAATCCATTATAGCCATCCTCACTGCCACCATATCCACCACCACCACAGCTGCCACCAAAGCCACCACAACCACTGAAGTTTCCTCCATGATCAAAGTTGTCATTCCCACCGAAACCACCTCCATGACCACCACCTAAGTTTCCAGAACCACTTCGACCTCTTCGGCTGGATGGAGCACTAGCCATCTCTTGCTTTGACAGACTTTCCTAACTTCACAGTTGTGGCCATTCACACTGTGGTATTTCTGAATGACAGTCTTATCCACGGAGTCATGGTCATCAAAGGTTACAAAGGCAAATCCCCTTTTCTTGCAACTGCCTCGGTCAGTCATGTTTTCAATCACTTCAATTTTTCCATACTACTCAAAATAATTTCTTAGGTGATTTCTTCAGTGTCTTCTTTAATGCCACCAGCATATATCTTTTTCACAGTTAAGTGGGCACCTGGTATTTGAGAATCTTCTCTTGAGACAGCTCTCTTTGGTTCCACAGCTCTTCCATCCACCTTGTGTGGCCTTGCATTCACGGCTGCATCCACCTCCTCCACAGTGGCATATGTGAAAAATCCAAAGCCCCTGGAGTGCTTGGGTTTGGATCTCTCATGACCACACTGTCCGGGAGTGTCCCTCACTGCTCAAAATGGCTCCTCAGGCTCTCATCAGTTGTTTCAAAGCTCAACCCTCCAATGAAGAGCTTCCTCAGTTGTTCTGGCTCTTTAGGAGACTCTGACTTAGATAAGACGGCCAGGAGAAGAGAGACTTTAATGATGCTTCTTCCATGGCATCCATGGGCAGAAAGGCATAAATAAATTATTAATAAGTTTCTAGAACATTCACTGACTCGCATAAAAAATAAAGACCTGAGAAAAAAGTTTTTACATGACTCTAAAGAATGTTAGGAACTTTCCATGCAGAAGGAAAAAAAATGACAGAAAAATGATATAGATCCATTTCTGCTTTCTAGATAAGTCATCTATACAGGCAATTAGTCAGTTATTTATTTGTTTCTCTGTGGTGCACTTATCAAAGTCCACTGATGTCTATTGGAACTTGAGTTGCAACATGGAACTTGAAGTTCTATTTTCTCAGCCTTTTGTTTTTCCATTATCCAGAATTCAACCAGCTGATAATTAGTTTTCTGGAAATTTCTAGTGCCTTTGATTAAAAAAAAAAATGTTCAAGCAAGTATATCACTAGTAAATTTACCAATAGAAAAAAAAATGAGTAGGAAAAGAAACAAGAAAGGGGTAACAAAAAGTATCTTTGCTTGTTTTTCAGTCAGATCGCATCCTCACACAATCAGTAAGTCTATGTGTTCATTGAATTCTCTCCTTTAGGACTCGGTCTCTAGTGGAGTCCAAGAGTCTTTATCTGCCCATATTGGGATACAAAGGGCTTGAGATATATCTTGGCCTCTTGCTGTCTCATTATCAAAACCTCTCTGCATTATTCATGATGTACTGGAAAGTTTTAAGACTATCAATTTACAATCCCCTGCAGGATTTCAAGCAGTTACCAGTCACTGCAAAAAGGGAAGAGATAAGTCAGAGCAGAGAAAAAAATTTTACAAAATTTCAAAGCCCATCAACAAGAGACTACCTTAAAAAGGGAAAAAATGGTAGGAGAGAAAGGAGTAGATAAGAAGTTTCTGTAACCCTTTTTCATTTGAACCTCCTGCCATATCTGGTCTCTTTTTTCCACATTTAAATTCCAAAACATCTAAGAAAAATTTGTATCACCTTTTAGAGACTTTAGAGGATTTAAGCCTAAACTTTAAATAACAACTTTAAGTTGTTATTTCCTCCGTGTTTTGCTTTCATGTGACACATCATTCTCTCACCTTTTAAATAACTCTATGGAAAAAATCAAACTTACTATTTTATTAAAAAATAAAGGGCAGGGGAGAAAGTTTATCAGCAGGTCAAAATGATATATTACAAGGGACTTAACAAACTGAAAGACAATTTGAGCAATGGGGAAAGAAAAAGGAGATAATTGTTTCTGGTCTAGTTGCAAGCTGGATTCATTTCACTTGCCATCAGTATGTCCATGTTTTCACCACCGTAGGATTCTGGAATCTCTCCTTTCCCTGGTACAGCTAAGATTTCCAGGCTTGGGGTGCATACTACTTTAACCACTTACTTTCCTATCATCAAAATTCCATGAAGTTATTAATGATTTTTTGAAAGTTCGCATTCTGCTGATTCATATTAAAAATAAATGAATACCAAAGGGAAAGTTTTCCCTATTGTTATAATGACCTACCAAGAAGAAACTCTCTACATAGAAAGGAAAATATCATGGGAGAAAAAACAGTTGCTAAGATACCTCTCTGTTTTTCAGCTGGTCCACCTTCAGCACCCCGCGGTAAGTTCAATTTCTTTTTCTACTCTTTTCTGTTGTTGTTCTTGTTGTTCCCTGCAAGGCTTAGAGACCTGTCTCTACCCTGCTCATTTCTAACTCTGTGTGCAGCTACCTGACTCAAAGCTTCCAGTTTCCTCTGCCTTCTGCTCATCCAGCTTCTCCCTGAGAAAGAAGTTATATTTACATAATTTCAAACATATATTTACTTTGTATCTCCTCTAGAACTATTTAAGTGCTTTAATTACATTACCTCATTTAATCCTTAGAATAATTCCACCAATCCCTTTGTAAGAGATAAGAAACTGAGCCAAATACTTACTCAAGAATACATAGTCATAGAATCATAATTTAGACCCAGAAAGGTGTCCAAGTTTCTCCCCTACACAAATATACCTCCCTAGAGGGAACCTTGTTTCTTTCAAAGAAATCTTCACCAATATCTACTTTGGTTTTTAGGTCCACCCATGGCACCCATAAGTAAGTATAACATCTCTTTTTCTTCTTTGGTTCTCTATGGTCCCCTTCATTTCACTTCTGTCAAAGTGATTTGAGTTTCCCATTCTTCTCTTGCTTCCTTATTACCCTGCTTGCCCTATAATTTTTTTAAAATACTAATTAAAAGTGGGACTAAGCTAGCATTCATCAACAATAAACTGAACAATACTACGAAATAACAAGTAGGAGGAATTTTCAGGGGGGTGGAGAGAGAAAGAGAGAGAGAGATGAAATCCAAAATGATGTCTAAATGGAGAGAAACCTTCAGTGTTCTTTCAAACATTATAGTGCAAGGATCCAGTGGTCTTTTCCCAACACTATGCCCAAAGCTGTTCAGGTCCAATAAGTGGAGAGGGCCTTTAAGGAAACTCTACCTTTGACTTCGTCATTACATCATCACTGCTAAATCTTACATCTAGTTTTGCATTATAAAACTAATCTAAAACCAAATAATCTATAGGGTGGTTTGGAATACCTCCTTCACTGCCCACCCAAGTCCTCCCCTCACAGACTCCAGCAAAATATATTAGATAATACTATGTGTTTTCTATTTGAGAAAAATTAAATGGATTTCTGTTTGCTTATTTTTCAGTAATTTCACAGAGAACCGCAAGTAAGTACTCTACTTCTCAGCTGGTCATATGTGGGGACTTTTCTTATCTTAGTTGTTTCTATTTCTAAGTGCCTCATATTTCTCATATTCATTTGCTTCTACATTACCCAAAGTCTTCAAGATTAGGACTGCAAGTCAACCTTTTTGATTCGTAACTGTAGTATTTCCCATTATTTTAGTTCTAAACTCAGCTTCCAAGGTAACACATACCAACAGTGACTCAATATTTAAACCAGGTCAAGCACTAACAATGATGATATTTAATATAGAATTCGTGAAACCGCCTTTCACACTATGTCCTACCTTTCCAAAATGCAAATTTGGTTCTCATATCTCAGTTACAAATGATTTAAGCAAACCTAACATCGCTGGGATTCCTCAGCCTGAAATTAAATCACACTAATATTAAAAACCAAAGTTCCTGTCAAGGTTAAAAATGCAGATGCCAAAAGAGCCCAGGCAGGTCAGTAAATGAGTGAGATGAGGTGAATCTCCTGGGAACTGTGTAAAACTGGGAGGACACATATAGTCTGAAGAGGGTAGCTGCTGCCTGCTCCAGCCAACCTCTTCATGCAAGAATTCAGATTCAGAGTTGCCAAAGCATCTCACTTAATCCAGATAGTAGGTAAAATTTTCCAAGTTTTAAACATGACAGACATCTGGGTTACTCTAACAGATTGCAAACATACTTACATACTCCCCTCTAGTTCCATCTAAACACACTCTGGATACAGTTTTCATAATAACATTTTACTCATTTCAATAATGTTAGGACAAAGGCATTGGTATTTGAGAGAGGAGAATTGGAGCTATTAACACAGAATTAGCCAGTGTCTCTCAAAAGTCCTCATCCACACATCTTTCTGAAGCCTGAGCAAAGAGGCTGATCGGCTAAGTATTCTCACGGCACAGATAAAAATACAGAGACAATGGTTCCGACCCAGAGATGAGGCTGCAAAATCCATATGCCCATGTTTGGGAATAGGCCCTATAATTGGGCACAGGGACCAATGCCCACCTGAGGTCAGGAGAAGGGATTACTGGTCTCACAGCTAGAAATTACAAGCCAAAATCCAAATTGAAGGCATAGTGTCCTTTTCAGAGAAGTCATCAGAGAGTATGGGCAGGAAAAAGATGTAAAAATCCAAGACCCAATAGATATATAGGGTCTTGGATCCTATATATCATCCTAGTAGAGGGGATGAAAAAAAGCACGCAAAAGTAACTAGGGATTATACCACCTGCTTTTTGGATAGCTAAGTGTTGGCTGGCCAATCCCATTACTGGGTATAGACTCAAAGGAATATAAACCATTCTATCATAAAGACACATGCACAGTTATGTTAAACACAGAACTATTCACAATAGCAAATACATGGAATCAACCTAAATGCCCATCAATGGTAGACTGAATAAAGAAAATGTGATACATATACACCATGGAATACTACGCAGCCAAAAAAAGAATGAGATCATGTCCTTTGCTGGAACACGGATGGATCTAGAGGCCATTACCCCTAGCAAACTAATGCAGGAACAGAAAACCAGATACCACATGTTCTTATTTATAAACGGGAGCTAAATGATGAGAACACATGGACACACAGAGGGGAAAAATAGACACTGGGGCCTGTCAGAGGGTGGAGGGTGGGAGCGGGAGAGGATCAGGAAAAATAACTAGATTTAATATCTGGGTAGAAAAATAATCTGTACAACAAACCCCCATGACACAAGTTTACCTATATAACAACCTTGCACATGTGTCCCTGAATTTAAAATAAAAGTTTAAAAAGTGTTACCTGGCAATATCTATAAATGAAAAATATACAGCCAAGCTTAAGCATAAAAAAGGTGGGTAAGATTTCCAAGGAGCAGAAATTGAATATAGGAACACATTGCAAGAAGAAGCTAAAGTTAAGCTCTTGGTGGGAACAGTGAGGGGATGAAAAAATAGAGATGACAGCTTTGCCTCAGGAACAAAGGTAGGGTTTCAACATCTGCTCCCAAATGACAGCAAAAGCCTCAAGATACAACATGCGGAAAACTGAAATTAGGCCCCTCTGAGTAAAGCCAGTAGCAGAAAATATACTGCCTCCCCATGCACAGAAGCCAAAATATCTTCACCCATCTGCCCCAGGCATGAAAACAGAGCCACCCACACAGGTCCAGAGTTAGATCTGTCCAGGGTGCAGAGCCCTGCTGGAGGTGTGCTACCCATGCAATGTGCATAATATTCCAAGTCAAAACAGCTGAGATCTGGTTAAGTGGCAGTGTACCCAGGAAGTTAGGACAATAGCCACCAAGAAGAGAGCCACAACCCAGGGTATTTATATCATAGAATATCCATGAAAGATAGCCCCCAAGGAATAAGAAACTACTAAAAGTTATGAAATCTATGAGAAAATCCAGCACCATGTGAGTGGTGAGTGATACCTCACAAGCCCCAACAAATTGGAGAATTCCAACCCAGAGAAATATAACTAGAGCAATCTGAAGAAGACTAAAATAAGGAACCTAACAGCACTGAACAAGTCAAACACTAAAGGAAAAAAAAGAAAAAGTCTTCAAAGATATTAATGCATTTTAAAAATATATGTATTCAACAAATATATATTGGCCTATTGTAGGCCAGGCATTATCCTAAGCACTGAAAATATAGCCATGAGCAAGACAAAGTCCTTGCACTTAAGGAGTTCATATGTTGAGATAAAACAGGCAAATAATGCCAAGTAAACATATACTAAATGTCAGGCAGATAAATTCATGTAGAAAAATAAGAAGAGTAACAGACTAAAGAAAGATGGTATAGAAGGGGGAGTGTGCTTCAGGCAAAAGGAACAAGTACAACATGCACAGGCCTGCTATGGAGGTGCAAAACAGCCAGCCAGGCTAGAAAGAAGGAGGCAGAGCAGGAGGTAGGGCCAGAGCGACAAGAGCCAGATTATGTCGGGCCCTGCAGTCCTTAATAAAAAATTGCAGATTTCATTCTAGGTGTCATGAGAGGCAACTGAAGGGCTTGAACAGGGAAATGATAGGGCCCACTTTATAATTTTAAAAGATCACTCTATTATTGTGGAGGATTAACTGGGGTGAGAGTGAGGGCTCAAGAGGGCAAGTAGGAAGACCAGTTAAGAGGCCTGAAATTAAGGTGAGTGTGGCAAGGAGAGAGTGATCAGAGTGGAAGTGGGAAGAAGGTCTTCAGATTTTATTTATTTTGGGGGCAAAGCCAACAGGGCCTGCTGTTCGACTGAATGTGATTTTAAGGGAAAAAGAAGACACCAAGGGTTACTCCTAGATTTGGGGTCTAAGAAACTTGACGAATGAGACTATTTATTCATTTAGGTAGCGGAGAAGAGCAGATTTATAGGATGCTATTGTGAGTTCAGTTTTGCATATGTTAGGTTCTAGATGCCTGGGATATTTAGGACTAATTAATTAAATAATCTGACCTTAGCAGGCTTCAAGCATGTTTTCTGGAAAATATCTCCTCTCTGTCCCTTAATGATGCATTAGAACCCATAATTTTATCTTTTTTATCTTTGTAAATAACAGCTTTATTGAGATGATATTCACATATGACACAATTCACTCATTTAAAGTGTGGAATTTAATGCTTTTTAGTATATTCACTGGGTTGTGCAACCATCACCACAATGAATTTTAGAACATTCTCATCACCCCCCAGAAAAACTCTGTTTAGCAATCACTTCCCACTATCCCCCAACCCAAAACCCTCTCCACACCATAGCCCCAGGCAACCACTAATCTTCTTTCTGTCTCTATAGATTCAGCTGTTCTGGACATTTCATATAAATGGAATCAAACAATAGGAGGTCTTTTGTGCCTGGCTTCTTCCATTTAGCATAAGGTTCACCAGGTTCATCCACATGGTAATATGCAGCAGTACTTCAGTTCTTTTTATGGCCAAATAATATTTCATTATGTCTTTGGTTGGCTTTTTTTAGCTTTCCTTTATTTACTTGTAAGGAAATATTATGATAAGTAGTATCAACTTGCTTTCTTTATTTTTATTTAAGTTTTAAGTTCAGGGATACATGTGCAGTTTGTTATATAGGTAAACTTGTGTCATGCAGGTTTGTTGTACAGATTATTTCATCACCCAGGTATTAAGCCTAGAACCCCTTAGTTATTTTTCCTGACTGTCTACGTCCTCTCACCCTCCACCCTTCAATAAGCCCCAGTGCCTGTTGTTTCCTTCTGTGTCCATGTGTTCTCATCATTTATCTCCCATTTGTAAGTGAGAACATGTGGTATTTGGTTCTCTCTTCCTGCATTAGTTTGCTAAGGATAACGCCCTCCAGCTCCATCCATGTTCCTGCAAAGGACATGATCTTGTTCCTTTTTATGGCTGCATGGTATTACATGGTGTATATGTACATTTTATTTATCCAGTCTATCGTTGACGGGCATTTAGGTTGATTCCATGTCATTGTTACTGTGAATAGTGCTGCAATAAACACACGTGTGTTTCTTTATGATAGAACAATTTTTATTACTTTGGGCATATAGCCAGAAATGGGATTGCTGGGTCGAATGGTAGCTCCGTTTTGGGGTCTTTGAGGAATTGCCACACTGTTTCCCACAATGGTTGAACTAATTTACGTTGCCACCAACAAGGTAAAACTGTTCCTTTTTCTCCACAGCCTCCCCAGTATCTGTTATTTTCTGACATTTTGATAATGGCCATTCTGCCTGGTGTGAGATGGTATCTCATTGTGGTTTTGACTTGCATTTCTCTAACAATCAGTGATGTTGAGCTTTTCTTCATATGTTTGTGAGCTGCATGTACGTCTTCTTTTGAAAAGTGCCTATTCCCTTTTTTTGCCAACTTTTTAATGGGATTGTTTTTGTCTTGTAAATTTGTTTAAGTTCCTTACAGGCGCTGGATATTACACCTTTGCCAGATGCATAGTTTGCAAAAACTTTCTCCCATTCTGTAGGTTGCCTATTTACTCTGTTGACAGTTTCTTTTGCTGGGCAGAAGCTCTTTAGCTCAATTAGATCCCATCTGTCAATTTTTGCTTTTGTTACAGTTGCTTTTGTTGTCTTCATCATGAAATTTTTGCCCATTCCTATGTCCAGAATGGTATTGCCTAGGTGGTCTTCCAGGGTTTTTATAGCTTTGGGTTTTACACTTAAATCTTTAAACCATCTTGAGTTAATTTTCGTATGTGGTGTAAGGAAGGAGTCCAGCTTCAATCTTCTGCATATGGCTGGCCAGTTATCCCAGTATCGTTTATTGAATAGGAAGCCCTTTCCCCATTGCTTGTTTTTCTCAGCTTTGTTAAAGATCAGATAGTTGTAGTCATGTGGCCTTATTTCTGGGCTCTGTATTCTGTTGCATTGATCTATGTGTCTATTTCCTACTAGTGCCATACTGTTTTGCTTACTGTAGCCTGGTAGCATACCATAATTTTCTAATCATGTTAAATTATTAAAAACACTCAGGCCAACCCCTCTTAAAACCCTCTCCTCTCCTAGTGGCCAGTCTCAGGCACACTGACTCAGAATAGGGAGGAGAAATTTTTTTGTATTTTTAGAACATCACAGTGTTCGCCAGGATGGTCTTGATCTCCTGACCTCATGATCCGCCTGCCTCGACCTCCCAAAGTGCTGGGATTACAGGTGTGAGCCAAGGCGCCTGGCCTACCCTACTCATTTCTAACTCTGTGTGCAGCTACCTGACTCAAAGCTCCCAGTTTCCTCTGCCCTCTGCTAATCTAGCTTCTCCCTGAGAAGGAAGCTTACATTTACATGATTTCAAACACATATGTACTTTGCACCTCCTATAGAATTATATAGGTGCTTTAATTACATTATCCCATTTAATCCTTAGAATCACTCCACTAACCCCTTTGTAAGAGATAAGAAACTGACCCAAATACTTACCCAAGAATGCAGTCATAAAGAATTGGAGCTTTTAACAGAGAATTAGCCATTGTCATCCAGAGCTGTGTGACTACCAAGATTCTCCCCAACACAAATATCTCTCCCTAGAAGGAAACTTGCTCCTTTCAAACAAATCTTCACTGATATCTAATTTTTTTAGGTCAGCTGGCAGCACCTATAAGTAAGTATTACATGTCTTTTTCTACTTTGGTTCTCTTTGGTCCCCTTCACTTCACTTCTGTCAAAGTGATTTGTGGTTCCCATTATTCCCTTGCTTCCTTATTACCCTACATGGTCTATATTACAGAGAATCTTTTTAAACACTAATTAAAAGAGGGACTAAGCTAGGATTCATCAGTAATAAACTGAACAATATTATGAAATAACACGTAAGCAGAATTATTGAGAGATGAAATCCATAATGATGTTTAAATGGAGAGAGGCTTTCAGTGTTCTCTCAAACATTATAATGCTATTCAAAGGAAACAGAAAGATATGGCAGTCTCTACCCGAGACTATACCCAAAGCTGTTGGGTCCAGTAAATGAAGAGGGCCTTTAAGGAAACCCTACCTTTGATTTCATCACATCATCACTGCCTAATCTTATATCTAGTTTTGCATTGTAAAACTAATCTAAAACTAATCTATAGGGTGGTTTGGAATGCTTCCTTCTTTGCCCACACAAGTCCTCCCCTCACAGACTCCAACAAAATATGTTAGATAATGCTATGTTTTCTCCATTTGAGAAAAATTAAATGGATTTCTTTTTGCTTATTTTTTAGTAATTTCGCAGAGAACTGCAAGTAAGTTCTTTATTTCTCAGCTGGTCATATGTGGAGATTTATGTTAGATGTTTCCACTTCTAAGTATCCAAAAGATTGAGACTCATATTTCTCATATTCATTTGCTTCTACATTACCCAAAGTCCTCCAGATTAGGACTGCAAGACAAACTTTTTGATTCATAACTGTAATATTTCCCATTATTTAGGTTTTTTTGTTTTGTTTTGTTTTGAGACAGAGTCTCACTCTGTCACACAGGCTGGAGTGCAGTGGCGTGATCTAGGCTCACTGCAACCTCCACCTGCCGAGTCCAAGCAATTCTCCTGCCTGAGCCTCCCAAGTGGCTAGCAATACAGGTGCAAGCCACCATGCCCAGCTAATTATTGTATTTTTAGTAGAGACAGGGTTTCCTCATTTGGCCAGGCTGTTCTTGAACTCCTGACCTCAAGTGATCCGCCCGCGTTGGCCTCCCAAAGTGCTGGGTTTACAGGTGTGAACCACCACGCCCAGCCCCATTATTTTAGTTCTAAACCCAACTTCCAAGGTAACACATACCAACAGTGACTCAATTTTTAAACCAGATCAAGCGTTGACCATGATGATATTTAATATAGAATTCGTGAAAGCACCTTTCACACTGTGTCCTAGTTTTCCAAAATGCAAATCTGGTTCTCATATCTCAGTTACAAATGATTTAAGCAAACCCAATATCAGCTGAGATTCCTCATCCTGAAATTAAATCACATTAATATTAAAACCCAAAGTTCCTGTCAAGGTTAAAAACGCAGATGCCAAAAGAGCCCAGGCAGGTCAGTAAATGAGCGAGTTGAGGTGAGTCTCCTGGGAACTGTGTTAAACTGGGAGGACACGCATAGTCTGAAGAAGGTAGCTGCTGCCCAGCTCCAGCCAACCTCTTCATGCAAGAATTCACATCTAGAGTTGTCAAAGCATCTCACTTAATCCAGATAGTAGGTAAAATTTTCCAATTTTTAAACATGAAAGACATCTATGTTATTCTAACAGATTTCAAATATGCTTATATATCCTCCTCCAGTTCCTTCTAAACACACTCTGGATATAGTTTTCATAATAACAACATTTTATTAATTTCAATAATGTTAGGACAAAGACATTGGTATTTGAGTGAAGAGAAATGGAACTGTCAACAAAGAATTATAAGTGAGTGTCTCTCCAAAATCCCTATCCACATACCTTTCTGAAGCCTGAGCAAAGAGGCTGATCAGCTAAGTATTCTCACTGCACAGATGAAAATACATACTCAGTGGTTGAGACCCAGAAATGAAGCTGGAAATTCCAGATGTCTATGTTTGCACATGGGCCATATAATTGGGAACAGAGACCAAGGCCCACCAAAGTTCAGGAGAAGGGATTATTGGTCTCACAGCTAGAAATTACAAGGCAGAACCCAAATTGAATGCATAGTGTCCTTTTCAGAGGAGTCATCAAAGAGGATGGGCAGGGAAATAATGTAAAAATCCAACACCCGAGGGGTAGGGAGAAAGAAAAAAGGAATGCCAAAGTAACTAGGGTTTATAACACCTCATTTTTGGCTGGCTAAGTCTTGGCTGGAAATATTTTTAAATGAAAAATGCACAGTCATACCTAAGCATAAAGAAGGAGGGTAAGAGTGATTTCCAAGGAGCAGAAATGGAATATAGGAACACATATAAAGAAAGGAAAGCTAAAGTTAAGCTCTTGGGAGGAATGGTGAGGGGATGAGGAAACAGAGGTAGCAGCTTTGCCTCAGGAACAAAGGTAGGGTTTCAACACCTGATCCTAGATGGTGGACAAAGCCTCAAGATACAACATGTAGAAAACTGGAATTCCACCACTTGGAGTAAAGCCAGGAGCAGAAAACACGCTGCCTCCCCACGCGGAGAAGCCAAAATATCTTCACCCATCTGCCCCAGGCATGAAAACAAAGCCATCCACACAGGTCCAGAGTTAGATCTGTCCAGGGTGCAGAGCCCTGCTGGAGGTGTGCTACCCATGCAGTGTGCATAATATTCCAAGTTAAAACAGCTGAGATCTGGTTCAGTGGCAGTGTACCCAGGAAGTTAGGACAATAGCCACCAAGAAGGGATCCACAACCCAGGGTATTTATATCATAGAATATCCATGAAAGATAGCCCCCAATGAATAAGAAACTACTAAAAGTTATGAAATCTATGAGAAAATCCAGCACCATATGAGTGATACCTCACAAGTCCCAACAAATTGGAGAATTCCAACCCAGAGAAATATAACTAGAGCAATCTGAAGAAGACTAAAATAAGAAACCTAACAGCATTGAACAAGTCAAACACTAAAGGAAAAAAAAGAAAAAGTCTTCAAAGATATTAATGCATTTTAAAAATATATGTATTCAACAAATATATATTGGCCTATTGTAGGCCAGGCATTATCCTAAGCACTGGAAATATAGCCATGAGCAAGACAAAGTCCTTGCACTTAAGGAGTTTATATGTTGAGATAAAACAGGCAAATAATGCCAAGTAAACATACAGTAAATGTCAGGCAGATAAATTCATGTAGAAAAATAAGAAGAGTAACAGACTAAAGAAAGATGGTATAGAAGGGGGAGTGTGCTTCAGGCAAAAGGAACAAGTACAACATGCACAGGCCTGCTATGGAGGTGCAAAACAGCCAGCCAGGCTAGAAAGAAGGAGGCAGAGCAGGAGGTAGGGCCAGAGCGACAAAAGCCAGATTATGTCGGGCCCTGCAGTCCTTAATAAAAAATTGCAGATTTCATTCTAGGCATCATGAGAAGTAACTGAAGGGCTTGAACAGGGAAATGATAGGGTCTACTTTATAATTTTAAAAGATCACTCTATTATTGTGGAGGATTAACTGGAGTGAGAGTGAGGGCTCAAGAGGGCAAGTAGGAAGACCAGTTAAGAGGCCTGAAACTAAAGGTGAGTGTGGCAATGAGAAGAGTGATCAGAGTGGAAGTGGGAAGAAGGTCTTCAGATTTTATTTATTTTGGGGGCAAAGCCAACAGGGCCTGCTGTTCGACTGAATGTGATTTTAAGGGAAAAAGAAGACACCAAGGGTTACTCCTAGATTTGGGGTCTAAGAAACTTGACGAATGAAACTATTTATTGATTTAGGTAGTGGAGAAGAGCAGATTTATAGGATGCTATTGTGAGTTCAGTTTTGTGTATGCTTGGTTCTAGATGCCTGGAACATTTAGGACTAATTAATTAAATAATCTGACCTTAGCAAGCTTCAAGCATGTTCTCTGCCATGTGTCTCCTTCCTATCATTTAATGATGTCTTAGAACCCATAATTTTCTAGTTATGCTAAATTATTTAAAATGCTTAAGCCATCCCCTTTAAAACCCTCTCCTCTCCTAATGGCCCGTCTCAGGCACACTGACTCAGAATGGGGAGGAGAAATACAATGTGCTTCCCCTTCCTGTCCACTCTCCTTGTTGCTATAATTCCCACCGTTGTTATAATTCCCACTGTTGAGGCTGAGAGGATGGATTTGGGGCATGCAATCTCCTTCCTCTGTTAGTTGTAGGTTCTTTTCTCTGAGAACCTGAGACTGACTGTCCTTTGATGTCATCTAGAGCAGACACCCAAATGTCTTGTACAATACATATTCCAGTTCTTTGGAGGAACATACAAGAACTCGACCATGCCTAGTCCCTGATGTGGGAGTACTGACTCTAGTCTTGCCAATTCCAGAGCCCCTCAACTCCCTCTCGAGCAATACACTTCATTGCTCGTACTGCAGAGATGCCCTTACCAAGTAGGCCACCCACTTGAGTGACATACTAGCAAGAAGGCTCAAGCCAGGATGTATTTTGCACTGCCCACTGAACCCTCAGGAGGCTCAAGAATCCTTATCACAGAACAAGGACACTCTGCACTACTGTCTCTCTCCAATTTTATTTTCCTTCATTCAGATAGGCACAAAACAAATCAACAAATCCACTATTCAACCAGGAGATGGGTTGCCACACATCCTTTCTCACAGATACCCCCAATCACTGTAAGCAAATCTCAAAGTGCTACTCATTTGCCTTCAGAAAAAGAAAGCGCTATTCTTCCTCCCCTACAACACCATTCCTTTGTTAACTACTCACAACTCTAAAGACTCTTAAATCTCCTGCCCTTTACAGTTGTTTGCTTATGTTGTCTTGGAAAAAGGGTGACACTTGAGATAGGAGAGCTAATTTGGCCATCATGTCAAGGCCGGCGAGCAGCACCTCTGCACTGCACAGCCTCAAGAATCCTTTCCCTTTTAATTATGGAGCTGGCAATGCTGCAATCCCTCCTGAGGGCTTGTCTCACCTCAGTTTGCTGAGGAGGGTAATGGGAAGTTATAACCTCTTTTTCCTCAGCTTTGTGATCCTACTTGTCAATTTGGGAGTAACAAGAAAAATCCCACTAAACATTCTGCCCCCCATCCAAGCATATACTCTATATCAAAAGGCAATTAAATATTTGAGTCTGAAGATTTAGGGAGAGATTGGGTGGGAAATAAATTAGACAGTAATCAGCATATAGGTAACATTTAAGACGATTGGACTAAATTAGATAATCAAAGGTATATGTAAAAATGAAGGGGTAAGGATTAATCAGTTTTAGAAGTTTAGAATGAGAAAAATCTAACTATGCATATAGAGAAGTAGTGAGCAGGGAGAAAGAAGGAGAACCAGTAAAGGGGGGGTCTCGCAGCACTCAAGAGAAGATAGTATTTCAATATGGAAAAAATAAACAACAGCATCAAAAACAGCTAAGCAATGAATTTTTGGAGTAAGAACTGACAAGGAATTTTGCAAAATGAATGTCATAAGTAACCTTGATAAGATAGGAGGGAAGAAATGCCTAAATGGAGGAGGTGAAGGAGATAATAAAATTTTAAACGGTAAGGCAGCTGATACGGCATATGACAGCTAGTATAGCATGAAAAGGCCACGAAAGGCTGGAGTTCTGATAGGTTGTGGCTTACCTATTGGGGAATAAAAGAAAGACTATCCTTTCTAAAAAGATTAAAAATATATATATATATATATGTATATATATTTGAGAGATAGTTTGAAGAAAGAACAGGCAGATTTAAAAAAGAACCAAGCTGAAACCTTGAAAATAAGAAAGTTATTAGAATTGAAACAATGATTAGATAATATATAAATTCTAATGTAACTATATGTAAATAATATTTAAATATTATTAATCACAGTTTAAAAGAGTAAACTGGAAGACAGAACTGAGGAAATCTCAGTTCAAAATAGTACATGGAAAATATTGAAAATCTCAGCTCAAAATAATACACAGAAGATATTGAAAATATGAAAAAGAAGAGCTGTAAATAGAATGAGGTCAGGTGTAATGGAATTTGATAAGAGAGAATTAAAAGAATAAATGTCAGGTAATAATTTTAAATGTAATAATTAATAACATTCCAGAAGAAAAGAGACATAAATCCTCAGATCATAATGGTCCACTGAAAGCTGAAATTAGATAACTTTAAAACACACAGACAGATATATACACACACACACACACACACTTACATGTGCCAAAACTCATCGTAGTAAGCTGACAGACATTAAAAAGCAAATCATAAAGACAACCAGAGAAGCAGATCACCTGCAAAAAATCATGTTAACACTAGACATCTCATTAGCAATAATATGTGCCAGAATACAACAGAACAAGAATGAAATCCAAACAAGAATGAGATCCTATCATTTGCAACAACCTGGATGGAAATGAAGGTCATTATGTTAAGTGAAATAAGCCAGGCATAGAACCACAGACTTCACATGTCCATACTCATTTGTGGGAACTAAAAATTAAAACATTGAACTCATGGAGATAGAGAGTAGAATGATGGTTACCAGAGCCTGGGGAGGGTAGTCAGGAGAGAGAAAAATTGGGAATGGTTAATAGGTACAAAAATAGTTAGATAGAATGGATAAGATCTAATATTTGATAGCACAACAGGGTGACTATAGTCAAAGGAAATTTATTGTACATTTTGAAACAACTAAAAGAATATAATTGCAATGTTTGTAACACAAAGAAATGATAAATGCTTAAGGTGATATTCAGTTAACCCTGATGTGATTACTACACATTATTACACATTGTATGAGTGTACCAAAATATTTCATGTACCTACTTGCACCTACTATATACCCATAAAAATTAAAAATAAAAAAATTTTAAAAAGAATACAACAGAACAATATCATCAAAAGACTGAAGGAAAATTACTATAAACCCATAAGATACAATCAGCAAAATTATCATTTATGAGTGAGACTGAAATGAAGTCATTTTGTATATTCAAGAACATAGAAACTCATTAAACACAGGTCCCCAGTGAAAGAATTATCAAAGGGACATACTTCAGGGAGTTTACTTTTGAGTAAAAACTCAAAAAGAAGTTAGAACCAAGAAACATATGTAAGAAAACAAATCAACAAAACATGACAGTAAATCTAAAATGTTGACTATAAAGAAAAAAAAGAGAAGGAAGAGAAGAAGGAGAAGGAAAAGCAGAAAGAGGCTGAGCACAGTGGTTCACACCTATAAGCCCTGCACTTTGGGAGGCCAGGGCAGGTGGATTGCTTGAGCTCAGGAGTTGGAGACCAGGCTGGGCACCATGGTGAAATCCTGTCTCTACAAAAAATACAAACATCAGGTGAGTGTGGTGGTGCATGCCTGTAGTCACAGCTACTCAGTAGGCTGAGGTGGGAGGATTGCTCGAGCCTGGGAGGTCAAAGCAGCAGTAAGCCGTGATCATGCCACCGCACTCCAGCCTAGGAGCAAGACCCTGTCAAAAAAAAAAAAAAAAAAAGCAGGAAGAAAAGAAGGAGAAGGAGAGAGTGAAGGAGAAATATATTAGTGTGCTTTAAAATGAGTAGACCTAAAGCATTAGGGAAAAAAACCTTAGAGACAAGGCTAATGATTATGAACTAAGATAATTTGACAAAAGGTCAGATGTACTGATTAACTTTTCATCTTATTAAATATATACATTTGAATATTTATGGCAAAAATAAAAGACAACTATTAATATAATAGAAATGTGACATACATCTTCTGAACCCATAGGGAAAATAAAAAGAAGAAAGAAAACTATATTAGTCCACAAGAAAGCAAGAAAAAAGAAAAAGAGAAAGCAAATAAAAAGCAAAATTTTTTTTTTTTTTTTTTTGAGACGGAGTCTCGCTCTGTCGCCCAGGCTGGAGTGCAGTGGCGGGATCTCGGCTCACTGCAAGCTCCGCCTCCCGGGTTCACGCCATTCTCCTGCCTCGGCCTCCCAAGTAGCTGGGACTACAGGCGCCCGCCACTACGCCCGGCTAATTTTTTGTATTTTTAGTAGAGACGGGGTTTCACTGTTTTAGCCGGGATGGTCTCGATCTCCTGACCTCGTGATCCGCCCGCCTCGGCCTCCCAAAGTGCTGGGATTACAGGCGTGAAAAAGCAAATTTTTTTAAATGAGGGTTAAAAAAGTCTAAATATGTTGCTTAGCACAATATTATACAATAGTAGATTAAACTCACAGATTAAAAGCTAGAAACTCTCAGATGTAATTAAAAGAATTAAATTTTTTTAATTTTTCTATTTTCCTATAAAAAAATAAGAAAAATAGCTAAACTCTATTAAGAAATATACCTAAAATAAGGTGACACACAGAAAAATTTAAATGAAGGAATTTTAAAACATACCAGGCAATTGGCCAGGTGCGGTGGCTCATGCCTGTAATTCCAGCGCTTTGGGAGGCCAAAGCGGGTAGATCACTTGAGGTCAGGAGTTCGAGACCCACCTGGCCAACATGGTGAAACCCTGTCTCTACTAAAAATACAAAATTAGCCAGGCATGGTGGCACATGCTTGTCATCCCAGCTACTTGAGAGGCTGAGGCTGGAGAGTCACTTGAACCTAGGAGGCAGAGGTTGCGGTGAGCCGAGATTGCACCATTGCACTCCAGCCTAAGTGACAAGAGCGAAATTCTGTCTCAAAACAAAAAAAAACCAGGCAATTAACAACAAAACAAAACTTGATATAATTGTGCAAATATCAGATAAAATATAAGTGAAAGTTGTGAGCTTATAGCATAGCCTTTGAAATACATAAAACAAAAACTGACAAAATAGCAAAGACATCTGTAACTAAATAAAGATATTTTAATAATATTTCTCTCATAAAATAAACAGACAAAAATTAGTAAGGCTAGAGAGGCTTTGACATAATTTTAGAAAGCTTTATCTAGTAATGTACACTGAACATTCCACCAAGCAAGCACAGATGGAAAAGATTACCTTGACCACCAATTCCTTCAACTAGAGCAAGCCTCAACTAATTTCAAAGTACACTTCAACATAATATAAATCACATTTTCTGAGCACAAGGCAACAAAACAGAAATAAATAACAAAAAATATTAACATATACATATTTAGAAACAAAAAAGCATACATCCAAATAATCCACAGGTTACAAACAAAATTGTGAGAGAAATTACAGAATATATAGAAATAAGTGAGTATAAAATCATTACTTGTCAAAACACTTAGGATACAACCAAAATATCATTTAGAGAGAAATTATTATGGTAAATGGTTTTAATAGAAATTATTCATTAATAAAAATTGATGAACTAAACATGAGCTCAAGATGATTAAAAAAGGAAAAATCTCAAGAGTAGGACACAATAATAAAAATGTCCTACTTTTATTAGGCAAAAATTAATGAAATGAAAAGTATTTAAAAATAACAGAATAATTTTGATTATTTTGAAACAAAATTAAAGAAAAGGAAAAGCACTAACAATACAAGGAACAAAATAGAAATGTGGAGAGAAAGCAAAATTTCCTCAAAATCATAAGAAAATGCACTAAAAAAATGGAAATACTGCAAAATGAATACTTTGTTAGCCTAGCCAAATCATCTATTTTGCCTGAGCACTTGACATTAAACATGACAGTCAGAAAAACCTTGTATCATGAGATAAACTGAGGATGGCAGGAGGTGAAAAAAGAAGGAAAGAAAACCAGAAGGAAGGGAAGGAGAGAAGGAGGGAGGGAGGGACAGACAACTTGCTTTATATGTTCTTAAATTGAATAATAGTTCCATTTAGCACTGCAACCTAAAATAAAGGCTTAAGTTCATATGCTTTACATTGCTGGCTTCCTAATGGAAACAATTTTAGTGCTGATTTTTACAATATTGATACACATAAATGTAAGTAACCAAACCCAGGTTTGGCTGCTTGCAGCTGAAAAGCCAGACATGAGAGACAAGGGTTGGTGGGATGAAAAGCAGATTATATTGGAGAGTCAGCAAACCGAGAAGATGGAGAACCAGCATTCTAAAGTACCACCCTTCTAATGTCTTTCAGGCTGGCTGGAGGGTTTCTATGGGAGGGGGGATATGGGGAAATTATGCGCAGGAGTTAGAATCAAGAGATGACTGAGGAACACAGAGATCTGGATGCCAGCAAGAGTCAGAGGAGGTTGGGAACGTCTTTGTCCTTGGTCAGGTCACAATGCTCCCGTAAATCTTTAACAAAACATAATTAGTTGTTTACATAATTCCCCCTTAGTCGTACAGTTAGTTTCAAAAATTCCATGATTGCTGTTTTTGCATTTTATCTTAGTGTTCTAAAATTGTCCTAACTTACATGCAGGAATGGGTGAAGGTCCTTTAAACAAAAAAAGAGTTCATGTTAGTTATTTTGCTGTTTCACTGTCATACAAATGTGTTATGACCCTTGCCAATATATAATTATGATGGAGAATTATTTTTCCACCAATGAGAATAATTGGCAAACTGACCAACTTTATAGATTATGCCCCTTAAACTCCTGCTATGTCTCTTATTAAGTGAGCCAGTTCTTCTGAAGACAGGACTTGCTTGCAAGCACTGCAACTTAAAAAAGAAAAGAAAAATGTTTCTCAGTTCCAATTTGCCTCCAGTTTTTATTGACAATACAGACCTTTAAAAAACATATGACCTGGCCAGGCGTGGTGGCTCATGCCTGTAATCCCAGCACTTTGGAAGGCCAAGGCAGGAGGATTGCCTGAGGTCAGGAGTTCGAGACCAGCCTGGCCAACATGGCAAAACCCCATCTCTACTAAAAATACAAAAATTAGCTGGGTGTGGTGGCACACACCTGTAATCCCAGCTACTTGGGAGGCTGAGGTAGGAGAATCGGGCTGCTTTTCTTCATGGCCCAATAACGAGATGCAGATGAACTGAGAAAGAAGACAGTTTTTATTTATATAAGTAGGTACAGAGAGAAGGCCTGGAAATTTTTGCCAGACCAACTGAAAATTACAAAGTTTTCCAGAGCCAATATACCTTCTAAGCTATATGTCTACGTGTAAGTGTGCATTCATCTAAAGACATAAGTCATTAACTTCTTCTAATCTGTGACTAAGATGTGAGTCCTGAAGGCTTTCCTCTAGAGCTTCAGTAAATTTACTTAATCTAAATGGGTCCAGGTGCTGGAGTGATTACCCTTATCTTGTCTCCTGCTAAATATGGAGTTCCTTCAGAAGACCCCCAATAAACTTGTTTGTGAAGGCCTGGGGAGTTTCTTCAGACCCCCCAATAAACTTGTTTTAATCCTAAACGGGTCCTGTTAAGAATTCCTTCGTAATCTTGTCATGCTTCAAGGCCCAGGAAAGGCCTAGGCAAACTCTTGGTGGGCTTGTTACATTCTAGCCTGGCTCTATCAGCTTTCAACATTTAACTTAACCACTCAGTCAGTGCTGAAACAGTTGTTATGGAGGCCTGCGTTAGCGAGACCTGCCCTGCCACAGTAAGGCAAAGAGTAAGTAAACTTAGTAATGGAAATCTAGAAGGAGAATACAATGAATGGTGAAGAAGAGAACAGATATTTTGAGATTAGAGACTGAAATAGGAAAAAAAGTAAAAGAAGCAAAACTTAAAATAAGTATTACTAACTCTTGAAGAGTTTTAAATTCTCATAAAAACTGAAAAGAAAAAGAAAAGGTGCTAAACTCAACTACATTTTAATTACAAATAAACTTTCTGTACTGTAAAAAAAATACAGTGAGAGCTGGTATAATGGTAGAGATTTGAAAGGAAGAGAAAACATGAAAAGACAAAAAAGACGATGAAGAGAGAACATAAATTAGTAACCTTTAACTATTAGCCAGTCTCCTGAAAGAATGTGACCTAGTTTAAGAATGTTTAAAAAAATATTTTATTTCATTAGAAAAAGTGGCCTTCACTTATATAACCCATCATACGTGCCATTCAAAATGGCCTGGATATTTAAGTTATTAAAGTGGAGTTAAAATTGACTTAATAAGAGATAGCATATTCCTAGAAGATTTAATGTTTCCCAAAGGTCTGTTTTCTGGTGTTCCAAGTGGATTTTCAATAGGAACTCAATACATAATTTAAAAAAAAACTGATTTGTTTTATTTTATTTTTAGCAATTGGTCCAATAGCAACCAGTAAGCTCCTACTGTTTTTCTCAGTTTCCTCTGGTCTTTTGTAGCATCTCGATTCCTTTATTTGCACTGACACTTTTGTTGTTTTTGGTTTCTATTTTGGTTTAGTTTGGGTCTTTCTTTCTTTCTTTCTTTTGTTCATTCGCTCGTTCTTTCTTCTTCCTTCCTTTCTTTCTTTCTTCTTCCTGTCTTTGTCTTTTAAATAAGTCAAAGGCCCACAGAAACAAGAAACCACATAGAAAGGACCAAAATCAATTTGTTCTTCTGGTTAGAGAGTTAAGTTGCAAAAGAGAAGCCAGAGGAAATAATGCTGGGAAAATATGCTGGGAAGACTATGGAAATAATACACTAAGAAGTTTGTATCACAGTCTGAAGCCACAGGGTCACAAGATGAAACTCCAAAAGATAAAAGGTAGAAATAATAAAAACTAGAAGATGTAGCAAATGGGAGTAGAAGAAGGGACAGACTGCAAAATGCAAACAGAGAAAACACTAAAATAGAATTCAAGATAAAAAAGAAAGATTGATCTTTGCCTTTTCCTCCATAAAGTTTATTACATCTAAACTTGGACCACTAGTGCTGCAGAGATTAAGCCTTTTCTGACTTCCCCTCCTTGAAAGAATTGGGACTTGCCTCTCATAACAATCAGGCAAATCACAGAAATTTATTTTGTGTAGGTCTAAATACACCAATTTTTTCAAAAGATTACCAGAGTACATTAAAAACATGACCTAACTATATCCTATCTACAAGAAAGTCACCTCAAATTTAACAATAAAAGTAAAAAGAATGAAAAATATATGCCATGAAACATTAATTTTTTCAAAAAAAAAGGCAGATGTGGCTACATTAATATCACGTAAAGTGGACCTAAATGCAAAGAAATTTACCAGGGACAAAAGAGGGACATTATATCATGATAAAAATATCAATGCATCAAGAAGACAAAGAAATTCTACATATGTATGAACCAAACAACAGTGCTTCAAAACACACTGGGAAAAAAAAAAACACGTACTAGAACTGAAGAGAAACAGAAAAACCCACAACTACAGTTGGAAAGTTTAATGCCTCATTCTCAGCAATTGCTATAACTACTAGATGGAACATGAAATAGGTGAGAGAATTAGCCAGGCAATATCTGAGGGGGGAATATTTCAATCAGAGAAGACAACAAGTAAACCACCCTAGGGTAGGAACATTTCCAGACTATTTGAGGAAAAGCAAGATAGCAAGTACCATATAGCTGGAACAGAATGAAAAGTGACATAAAAAGAAGCTATAAGAGAGATTTGGAGGGACAGATCTTCCAGGGCCATCTTTGAAAGCCACTGTTGTGATTTTGACTTTTGTTAAACCAAGATGGGGAACCATTGGTGGCTCTTAAGCAGGAGTCTTGCTGACACTTTAAAAGGGTCCCGCTAACTGCTGTACTGGGAACTGACTGGGAGGCAAGGGTGAAAGCAGAGAGCTCAATTAGAGAGACAACAATAAGTTGGACCACATAAAGGTGGTAAAAACTGTCAGGTTCTTATAACACACTAAGGGATCTGTTGTCTCATCATATTTCATTGTATTCTGCTAGAAGTCTTTATGGTACCCTAGAAAAAACAACTAGGGAATTGGGAGTAGGAAAGAACTGTACTTCTGTTCCAAAAATGCTGCCATTAACCTAT
The DNA here is from genome assembly GCF_000001405.40 of Homo sapiens. Lineage (NCBI taxonomy): Eukaryota > Metazoa > Chordata > Mammalia > Primates > Hominidae > Homo > Homo sapiens. Next base: position 3,607,641 of record NT_167246.2, on the reverse strand, counting down.
TTTCTTGTTTTGATTTTCAGGAATACCTCAAGTTCACACTAGTAAGTTCCTAATATATTTTTATTACATTAGTTTCTTGTAGGGCTGGGGTGAGCAAATTTTTTCTACAAATGTTTTTAATGTTTTATGTTTGTTTTTGTTTGCTGGGTTTTTGTGTTTTTTGGTTTGTTTGGTGTTTTTGGTTTTGTTTTGTTCTGAGACAGGGTCTTGCTCTGTCACCTAGCCTGGAGTGCAGTGGTGTGATCATAGTTCACTACAACCTCCACTCCTGGGCTCAAGCAATTCTCCTGCCTCAGCCTCCTGAGTAGCTGGGACTACAGATGTGTGCCACCATGCTTGGCTAACTTTTTTTTATTTTTTGTAGAAACTGAGTCTTGCTATGTTGCCTAGGCTGGTCTCAAAGTCCTGGCCTCAAACGATCCCCTTGCCTTAGCCTCCTAAAGTGCTGGGATTACAGGTATAAGCCACCATGCCCAGCCAAATATTTTAAATTTTATAAGCCTTAAAGTCTCTGTCACAACTACTCAACCCTGCTGTTGTAGCACAAAAACAGTCATAGACAATATATAAAAGAATGAGCATGGGTATGTCCCAATAAAATACTATTTTAGACATTGAAATTTGAATTTCATACAATTTTCATGTGCCACAAAATATTATTATTATTATTATTATTATTATTATTATGATTTCAACTATTTAAATATGTAAAATCCATTCTTACCTCACAGGACATGCAAAAATAGCATGTCCTAGATGCTATTTTTATTTGGAAAACTAGATTTATATGGAAAAACTAGATTTATTCCATGGGCTGTATTTTGCCAACTCCCATTTTTAAATACCCTGACTCCACATATGTATCTCTGGTAAACAATCCTGGTATATGTTTCTTACAGTTTCATGCTTTCTTATTATTCTGTGCTTTTTTTTTTTTTTTAAAACAGCGTTTCACTCACCCAGGCTAGAGTGCACTGGTGTGATCATGGCCCACTGCAGCCTTGACTTCCTAAGCAATCCTCCCACCTCAGCTTTCTGAGCAGCTGGGACTACAGGTGCTTGCCACCCTACCCAGCTAATTTTTTCTTTTTTTTTTTGCAGAGATGGGGATCTCATTATGTTGCCCAGGCTGGTCTTGAACTCCTAGGCTCAAGCCATCCGCCTGCCTCACAGCCTTCCAAAGTGCTGGGATTACAGGCATGAGCCACGGCGCCAGCCTATTTTGTGCTTTCTATGTTAGGTTTATCAAGTAACATCAACACAAGAGATATACCTATATTTCAGTACTTGGTAACAACTGTATCTTAAATATTTCGTACCAGGCCAGGCATGGTGGCTTACACCTGTAATCCCAGCACTTTGAGAAGCCAAAGCAGGTGGATCGCTGGAGCTCAGGGTTCCAGACCAGCCTGGGCAACGTGATGAAACTCCGTCTCTACAAAAAAATACAAAAATTAGCTGGGTGTGGTAGCACGCACCTGTAGTCCCAGCTACTCAGGAGGCTGAAACTGGAGGATCGCTTGAACCCCGGAAGTGGAAGCTGCAGTGAGCCATGTTCATGCCACTGCACTGCAGCCTGGGAGACTGAGACCCTGTCTCAAAAAAATATATTAAAAAAAAATTCGTATCAATGTCAAAAAATAATGTTAGCACACATCTTCTAAGCAAGACCATTATATGTCCTATATTTTATAAATTGTAATCTTGACATTCTAGACAAAATTGATAATGATCAATGATAAGTAAAGGTGATTTAAAGTAGCTTATCACAAGGTCTTTGTAAACTACACTGGGCAAAGAGAAGGGGGAAGGGAAATGAAGTTTCTTCACATTTAAATAAATGAAATTTAGTTGTTAATGACACAGATCCCACTCAATGCAGAGGTTTGGGGACTGGGAAGAAGGGAATGCCCAGTACCTACTGATGTGTTTGCCTTTATCTCTTTCAGTGGACAGTTCTGGAAAAATCAGTAAGTTTGGATCATTTCCTTGCCTTACCTATTTCTGTGCCTAGGACCTTTAAGTTCTTTTTCCCAAATGTTCTTGTGTTACGAGTTCCTCTACCTTACAGCAGTCAATATTTCTTCAATAAGTGATTTCCTCATATTTCAATTTTAATTCTTCTTATCTATTTTCCTTTTGTAACAAAGTATAATGGTCTTGTGTTTGATTCTAGTTATTTACTACCAAAGATTATTGGTAGCATATATTCCCAGCTAATCTATCACAACAGAGCCTATTTCCTCTGTGCTATAATCTGGCAACTAATAATTTTTACTAAAAAAGAAAATCCTCTAAGATTGACAAAAAGAATATGTGTCAGGACTAGATGTGATTTTGGTAATTGATCAACAATATACATTTTTCAAACGGACCAGAACAGTGAGCAAAAAACTGTTTTGCAGAAGACATATGAAAGACTTATCAAAGAACAAAGAAAGGCAGGAAATACAATAGTTTGAATTTCAGTAGAAGTGATTTTACCTACCCAAGATTTCAAATGCCTATATTAATTAAATGGCATCCTAAAGATAACCCTCTGTGTGGAGTGCGATATGGAGCATTGGCCAGCAACACTCCTGAGGATGAAACAGAGTTTTGTGCTCCCTCCAAGTCCTGTTTCTAAGTTCACCTAGGAAGGATACTATTGGAAGGTGGGTTTCTCTTGAGTTAGAAAATCCTCACTGATCTTTCTTTTGTGTTTTGTTTTTAGCACTGACTCCTGTGGGTAAGTTCCATATCTATTCTCAACTCTGATATTTTACATTGCTTTTAATTCTTTTGTGACCTGTCTGTTTCTACTCCCAAAATAGAGGCCTGTGCTTCTAAGGCCAATTTGAATGTTCCTATCTTCCAGAAACTTCCAAGGTTCCCCCCCGCCCTCCACTTTTCTTTTTGAGACAGGATCTCACTATGTTGCCCAGGTTGGTCTTGAATTCCTGGGCTCAAGTGATCCTCCTGCCTCAGCCTCCCAAAGTGCTGGGATTGCAGGTGTGAGCAACTGTGCCAGGCCCCAAGTTTTTAAATAACTACAATTTAAGAGATTGCTGTAGAGAAGATGAAGCTCATATGAAAGGGTGCCACAATCTCTGGCCATCTTCTAGGCTCTGAAAAAGAATCTCCTCCCTGATTCTCAGGAAAACATAATGAAAGGAAGATTGGTTTCTGAATTCCATTAGTTATTTGCTGGGAATTTAGAACTTTTTTTTAGTTATAGGTGAAGTCCCTCTGAATCATATTAATGGGGGAAAAAAACTAGTTAAAAACAAAATACCATCTCCTTTCTATTGCCTTCTAAATAACTACCTTTGAAAGACAGTAGGTATTGAGCATTGACTATGTATTTGTGCACTGTGCTAGGCACTTACAAAAGTAACATCTCTTATTCTTACCATATGCCTGCCTGGTAGGTATTATTATTCCCCATTTTACAGATTAGGAAACTAACTCAGGTATTTACCCAAGGTTAAAGAGTTGGTAAACATTGGTGTCAGGATTTAAACCCAGGATGTCCTATCTCCAAAATACACACTCTTCCCACTCTTCCCATACTAACACATTGCCTCCTATACTGAATCACAAATGCATTTTTTGTGATTAGTCAGGAAACTTTATGGAATGTTTGCAAATACAAATATACATCTACAGAAAAGCTGGATAACTAAATGTACACAAAAGGATCCTTTTAAAAATAGAAGACCGCATTTAAATCAATGTTTGACTTTTTTAACTGTTTTCTGGATTCAGATTTATCTCTATTGGGATTACTTAATATATGACTCAGCTCTTCAAGCAAGGAAACCATACAAAACAAAGTAGAATAATAACTTTTGTTTAATTCTGTAAACATATGATCAAAAGAAGCAAATAAGACTTAAACCTAGTGAGACACGTTTCAAGCATTTCAAACATTCCAAACACTGACACAAACACAAAGTATGTCCTTATATTTAATCGTGTTTAAGCCTCATTCTTCTTTCTCAGTTCACACTAGAAAGAGAGTGGGTTTGGAGGGAAAGGAAGGCAGGGAGATGAAGTTGAAAGGGGCAATTAATTAATTTTTTTTTTTTGGACAAAGTTTCGTTCTTGTCGCCCAAGCTGGAGTGCAATGGCACGATCTTGCCTCACTGCAACCTCTGCCTCACGGGTTCAAGTGATTCTCCTGCCTCAGCCTCCCAAGTAGCTGGGATTACAGGCATGTGCCACCATGCCCAGCTAATTTTGTATTTTTAATAGAGACAGGGTTTCACTATGTTGGTCAGGCTGGTCTCGAACTCCTGACCTCAGGTGATCTGCCCACTTCAGCATCCCAAAGTGCTGGGATTACAGGCGTGAGCCACTGCACCCAGCCGGGGAAATTAATTTCTTTTGATTCATGGTACAAGAAACAGTATGCATTCAGAATAATTATAATGCGCCAACATCCCTCAAATGCTCTCCTCACATAGAAAAAGTGATAGGACTGTGATCTTGTGAGTTTCTCTTACAAAAAAAAAAGGTGGGCTCTGATGATTGATGTTGTATGTCAACTTGACTCAGAAGAACCCTGACTAATACAAGGGCTCTGAGAAGGGATCACAGGCCAAGTCTCTTCCCAGAGGTAATAAATTTTTAATGAATACTAATTTTTTAAGTTGCCAGAGAAAAATCTGTTTAATCTTTTAAAAAATTTTTTGTAAAAGACATATTCTTATTGATATACTCTTTCAAACACATTTTTCCCAATTGATTGTTTTTCTATTTTTTTTAAAAAATAGAGATGGGGTCTCACTATGTTGCCCAGGCTGGCCTCGAACTCCTGGCCTCAAGCGATCCTCCCATCTCAGCCTCCCAAAGTGCTAGGATTACAGGTGTGAGCCACTGCATCGGCCCCAGTTGATATTTTTAGAAAAAGGAGGTTAAGGTTTAAGTCAATGTTCAAAGAAAGGTTTAAGATAGATTAAACCAACAAACATCATCATCCCAGCAAACTGAGTCTCTTATTTCTCACCTCCTCATTCAACTAATAAGTATATGATCTTTTAAAATGTAATTCATAGCCTGAGAACTATAATGATTTATCCCTCTGATACTGAATAGATCTTTTACAGTCTAGATCCAATTGTGCTCTCCCTGACAACCACTGGATTAAGAACCTAAGATTAGTTTCCTAATAAAGCCCACATTCTATTTTCTATGTTAAGTATCATTTAGATAGAATTGTTAATGTGATAGCTATTTCATGATATCTTTTAGCTTTAACAAAAATTAATCCAATTTAAAAATTTTAATAATTACTTTTTATTCAGCTTGAATATATTATGATGATCCCCAAAGTCTTGATTAAATCTTTTGATTGTATTAAAATTTTGTAGTATGGGCTACTGCCTGCAATAAATGTACTTGCAGCCAGGGCTTCCAAGTCTTTATATTATGAAGATTTACACTGTATGTGTTAGATGATTATGAGGTCCAAGAGAAGGAAAAGATGTATGAACTATCTTGAAATCTGGGAGAAGGAAGAAAAGAACTTAGAATGTGGTGGAATAATGATTTGTGGCTTACTTCTGCAATGCAAAGTTGAAATAAAAGTGAACCTCACTTTATGGGATAGCTAGATTACTCAAAAATAAATCCTGTAAATCTAATCTATGTTAATTAAATTCAAGATTTAAAAGATGACAGCAAATATATTAAAATAAGGGTATGAAGATTCTATTAGAAGTAACTAGAGGTATTTTTCAGTGTAGTGGGAGAAAGAATAAAAAGTTTTTTAATTCTGTGAAATTAGGAAAGGTGTAGCTAGAATAAACACTGGGTGCTTCAGGAAATCCTATAATACTTAATTTTGGTTTACAAAGCCTATATAATTTAGAAGGTAAATTTAGGTTAAAATGAGTCATGAAGTATTACACACAGTAGCAAATAATTACCCCCAAGGGATAGTAAAACTAAAAATATTCATAGCTTAAGGAAAATCAGCTTATGTGAGGAGTACATTCCATGAAATTCTTAAGGTTAGAAACTTCAGCGGAGCATGATCTTACCATTCCACACCACCATACCCCTAAACAAAACAAAACAAAACAGTGTCCACTGGTAGCACTGTCGAAGATCAAAATATTCTGAACTATTTTTCTCAATTTAGCAATGCTTGAAATATATTACCACTGATTTTCATTAGGAAACTGAAAATTGATTGTCTAGAATAAAATGTCAGTAACCATATTTTAATGAAGAACTCTAGGTGGGGACATATACAAAAAGGTTCAGAAAACATTACTGTAATTTTCCTAATGTTATTTTTATTTGGATGTCAACAGCTGAAAATAATAAAAGAAAACACTGAACTACAACAACTCTTTTGATTTATAATTAGTTTCTTATCTAATACAGGTGTGCCTCATTTTTATAATTGATAAAATTCTGAAGTTATGTGTATGCCAATTTTTCAAACATCAAACCCTAAATGTAAAAAACGAAAAGTCCAATAATTCACTTTTAAGCAAGAAATTTTCCTGTAATTGGCTGGGTGTGGTGGCTCACGCCTGTAATCCCAGCACTTTGGGAGGCCGAGGCAGGTGGATCACCTGAGGTCAGGAGTTCAAGACCAGCCTGACCAACATGGAGAAACCCCATCTCTACTAAAAATACAAAATTAGCCGGGTGTGGTGGCACATGCCTGTAATCCCAGCTACTTGGGAGGCTGAGGCAGGAGAATCCCTTGAACTCGGGAGGCAAAGGTTGCGGTGAGCCGAGATCGTGCCATTGCACTCCAGCCTGGGCAACAAGAGCGAAACTCCATCTCAAAAAAAAAAAAAAAAAAAGAAATTTTCCTGTAATACAATTAACCACTCCTGTAAATTATTTGTTGGAAACTAAGAATGCCTTGTCTTGATTGAATTAGAGAGTTTTTTCCTGTACTATCTCATTGGGAAGTAGTAATGGCCAATATTTATTGACTACTTATGTCCCATGCACTGTACCAAGTGCTTTTATTTAGATAACATTATTTAATCTCATAACACCTCTTTGAGGTAGCTACTACTATTGCCCCCATTTTACAGACAGAAAGTAAAGTTTGCCAAAGGTCACCCAGCTAGGCAGGTGCGGAGGCAGGATTTGAACCAGTCTGTCTCCAAAGGCTATGTTACTTTAACATTTGTCTACAATATTTAGTAACTCTACAAAGTGAGCAGATCAAACTAAATATAAAAACAGTGAATCTTTGAGGATTAACTGATTTACCTTAATAAACCCATTAAACCCAGCTAGCAGGAATAATAAACCTAGGTCTTCTTTTTTTTTTTTTTTTTTTTTTTTTGTGTGTGTGTGAGATGGAGTATCGCTCTGTCACCTAGACTGGAGTGCAGTGGTGCAATCCCAGCCCACTGCAACCCCTGCCTCCCGGGTTCAAGCGATTCTCCTGCCTCAGCCTCATGAGTAGCTGGGGTTACAGGTGTGTGCCACCATGCCTGGCTAATTTTTGTATTTTTAGTAGAGATCAGGTTTCACCATGTTGGCCAGGCTGGTCTCCAACTCCCAACCTCAAGTGATCCGCCCACTTTGGCCTCCCAAGGTGCTGGGATTACAAGTGTGAGCCACTGCCCCCAGCCCAAGTCTTCTGATTCAGCTTTTATATTCAGTATTCTTTCTACTATAGTAAATATTAAATATTAGATTTTCTCAAAGCAAGACATCCCTCTGCTCCACGGCAAGAACCCACACAATTCCTTGGTGGCTCAGATATTTCTTTTACTTAATTCAGGGAACCATATTACTTAAAAAAAACAAAAGCAAATAAAAAATACCTAGCAGAAGCCAATAAATTCAGGTTTGTTAAATCACACAGGAATTGAGACGTAACAGCTGATTTACCTGAACATGATCAAAGGACCTGAAATTTTTGCAGAGTTTGCAGATATTGCAAGAAGTAGTCTACAGTAATGATCAAAACTGAACACTGGAGTCTGACTACTCAGATTCAAATCCCAGCTCCACCACCTACTGATTACATAACCTTATTCATATTCATTTAAGCATTCTGTGCCTCAGTTTCTTCATCTGTAAAATGAGGTTAATAATACCCTACCTGGTTGTTGTGAGTATCAAATGATTTAATACATAAAGTGCTTAGAGCAGTGAGTACTTGGTATGTGGTAAGCACTTAATAATTATCAGCTAGTACTGTTATTACTTTTGCATAATAAGATATGCTTTTATTCAATATGGAAAGCATTTTTGAGTTTCCTTTTTCTGTCTTGAGAAATATAATTATTGCTTCCTCCCACAATTTTTCCTTAAAACAAATTCTATTTCTTTTCAGAATACATCCTCTGTTAGCCACTAAGCATTATTCATTAGCCATAATCCACTGAACAAATGTCAGTTCATTTACAGTACATTTTACCTTTTCTCTCATTAATCTTCCAAATTATTGAAAATAGTCCAGAATTTTATCGATACTTTTATAATTTTATGTACAGAGAACCATCATTTTAGATAACTTGAGATTCAGAAAAATTTTAGTTTGTCAGTTTTAAGACAAAAAAGGAACCAGTATCAAGGGGAAAAAAATAGAAATAAAGAGAAAATACTTGATATCTAAATCACGCCCTTTTGTTGTATGCTCAGTTATATTAACAGGTTACATGGATGAAGAACTTGCAAAAAAATCTTGTTCCAAAATCCAGATTCTAAAATGTGGAGGCACTGCAAGGTCTCAGAATAGCCGAGAAGAAAACAAGGAAGCACTAAAGAATGACATCATATTTACGAATTCTGTAGAATCCTTGAAATCAGCACACATAAAGGAGCCAGAAAGAGAAGGAAAAGGCACTGATTTAGAGAAAGACAAAATAGGAATGGAGGTCAAGGTAGACAGTGACGCTGGAATACCAAAAAGACAGGAAACCCAACTAAAAATCAGTGAGATGAGTATACCACAAGGACAGGGAGCCCAAATAAAGAAAAGTGTGTCAGATGTACCAAGAGGACAGGAGTCCCAAGTAAAGAAGAGTGAGTCAGGTGTCCCAAAAGGACAAGAAGCCCAAGTAACGAAGAGTGGGTTGGTTGTACTGAAAGGACAGGAAGCCCAGGTAGAGAAGAGTGAGATGGGTGTGCCAAGAAGACAGGAATCCCAAGTAAAGAAGAGTCAGTCTGGTGTCTCAAAGGGACAGGAAGCCCAGGTAAAGAAGAGGGAGTCAGTTGTACTGAAAGGACAGGAAGCCCAGGTAGAGAAGAGTGAGTTGAAGGTACCAAAAGGACAAGAAGGCCAAGTAGAGAAGACTGAGGCAGATGTGCCAAAGGAACAAGAGGTCCAAGAAAAGAAGAGTGAGGCAGGTGTACTGAAAGGACCAGAATCCCAAGTAAAGAACACTGAGGTGAGTGTACCAGAAACACTGGAATCCCAAGTAAAGAAGAGTGAGTCAGGTGTACTAAAAGGACAGGAAGCCCAAGAAAAGAAGGAGAGTTTTGAGGATAAAGGAAATAATGATAAAGAAAAGGAGAGAGATGCAGAGAAAGATCCAAATAAAAAAGAAAAAGGTGACAAAAACACAAAAGGTGACAAAGGAAAGGACAAAGTTAAAGGAAAGAGAGAATCAGAAATCAATGGTGAAAAATCAAAAGGCTCGAAAAGGGCGAAGGCAAATACAGGAAGGAAGTACAACAAAAAAGTGGAAGAGTAAGGATAAATTTTTTAAAGGCCCATAAGACAAGTGATTATTATGATTCCCATACTCCAGATACAAACCATATCCCAGCCATTGCCTAAACAGATTACAATTATAAAATCCCTTTCATCTTCATATCACAGTTTCTGCTCTTCAGAAGTTTCACCCTTTTTAATCTCTCAGCCACAAACCTCAGTTTCCAAATATTTGTTTTATAAGTTAAGACGTATATGATTCCGTCAAGAAAGACTGGATACTTTCTGAAGTAAAACATTTTAATTAAAGAAATATATAGTAATTTCCTTTGACAAGTATGTCTATGATAGCCTTTCCAACCAATCAACCAGTAACTCCTCATGGCAAGCCTAATGTTTGCAAGGCACTGGTCTAGCAATAAGGGGTGTACAGAAAAACACAAGTCAAAGCTCCTGCAATCAAGTAGCTTATAACATATATAGTGATATATGTATACATGGCAATTTTTTAAGTAAAATCTAAGTTACAAAAAGTTTAGATGGACAACATAATCCATCATGGGATGAGAAAGTAGAGGTGGTAACTTCATGGGGAAGGGAGTAGTGGTATACAATATGTCACAGCAGATGGATAAGGTGTTGATATGCTGAGTGAATTACAAAGAGTAAAAGAAAGGTAAAGGGTTAAAGGCTGTCGTGCCATGCTCCAGGTGCAGTAGGCAATTTTGCTGTTACGGAAGATTCATGGGAGGCATCCTGGGGTATAATTTTGAAAAGGAGAATATAAAAGGATTTGAAAAACAAGCCAGGAATTTATATTTTACTCTTCAGGCAGCTGGAAGCATTCTACAATGTTTGAGACACAGAGTGAAATCAATAAGGTTGTATCATTTTAAAAATAAGGTTGTATCATGTGATTGTGAAAAATAAGATAGAAAAAGAAACATCATAGATAGTAAATCTAATTAAGAAGTACTTGGAGTAAGTAATGGAAAGAGAATAAATAGGAAAAAAATCAAAGAAGAATCATTACTTCATGATGACTGACTGCATAGGAGTAAGGAAAAGTGAAAAAAACAATGGTTTCAAAACTTTTGAAACTAGGTAACAAACAAACTAGGAACTAATTTGGGGGACAGGGAGGGAACAACAAATTGTTTTAAGGGGATAAGCAATAACATTTGTCATTCAAGAGATATCTGGAATTAGATGAGTACAGGTAACAATTGAAGCAATAAGAGTGAGTTCTTCAAAGGAGGAAGTACAGGACTAACGAAAGCAGAAGTCCAAGGACTGAGTTTGTTATATGTAATATATTGAAGAAATTTAACTAAGGGATAGGAAGATAGAAGGAAAACCTGTATAGTGGAATGTTCCAATAATTAAGGAAGATGAGAGTTTTGAGAAAAAAATGACTGAGACTTCAAGGAAAATAAGGACTGAAAGAACACTGTAGTTGCTATTTGGAGCTGACTAATGAACTTCTAAAGAGCACTTTCCAAAGAAAGGAAGCTAGGAGAAGGAAGGTAAGCAGGAAGAATATAGAGATACAAGTAAGTAGTTGTGGGATGTGCCTTTCAAACATCCAACAGAGTTAACTTATTTTAGTCTATTTTAAAATAATCATTTTTAGAAATTTTATTTTTATACTGTTCAATACTGTGCTGGTTAGCCCACACCCTGAATATACATTTAGTTCAATCATGGGATGTGGATAAACTAAATGCCTTCAGGAGAGAAAGACTCAAGTGTGCAGGAAGTTGCAGAATTCCCCTGGGAAGACAAATATGAGGAAACAATGAGAATTACTTTCAAATAGTGAAAGTTCATAAGGGATTAGAATATTTTGTATAGCCCCAAAGAAATGAGATCAGTGAATGGAAGGTACAAAGTAACAAATTTTATCTTAGTAATAAGGAGAAGTGGAGGTCCAAAGAGTTTAAGCAAGAGTTTAAGGCTCATTCAGTGAGAATGCCATAGAGGAGACTCAGGAAACAGCTGAGTAATTGGAATAAGTTATCTTTATGGTCCCTTCCAAATAGACTTCCTGAGAGTCTATAATTCTAGTTATCAAATTCTTTGGACTAACTAGATGTCTTCCAAGGAAGCTTTTCATACTGATATGCTATTCTTTGGAGGCGTTTGATGAAAAAAGGAGAGAAACCAGACATTAGTCTCTGCCCAAAGTATAAAATGTTTCATAAATGTTTCAGGCTACCCAATCACAACCTTAAAAGAGTATCTCCATAACTTCTAGCACAATCTAATCCACTGTATGGCTGTCTACTGTGTTCTCACAGCCCTGCCGCAGGTATGGAAGCCTATGTTAATTTTAGAAGTCACAGAATCCTCAGGTCTTTGATGAGCTGCACAGGTTTAGCAAAACTGAGTTGCCAGAGAGAGAGAGAGTGAGAGAGAAGAAGACAGATATTAAACATGGATTTTAATATTGTAAGTTGCTTTTGTCATCTGTGGAAAATACACATTTAGAGATTTTACCAGCCTTTGTTGGCATGTCTTTTACATACATTATGCTGTTATCAGGGAACATTTTTGACCAGAAAGATTTTCACATAGTTAAAAGTATTAGATTTTCATCATTCTCATGTCATTTTTCCTATAGCCCCTCTGGTCCATGTGACAGCTAACTAGTAGGTTGTTTGTTTGCTTGTTTGTTTTTCCTCACTCTTCACCCAGGCTGGAGTGCAGTGGCATGATCTTGGCTCACTGCAACCTCCTCCTCCTGGGTTCAAGCGATTCTCATGCCTCAGCCTCCTAAGTAGCTGGGATTACAGGAGTGCACCACCAAGCCCAGCTAATTAGTGTATTTTTAGTAGAGATGGGGTTTCACCATGTTGTCCAGGCTGGTCTCAAACTCCTGACCTCAGGTGATCCACCGCCTCAGCCTCCCAAAGTGCTGGGATTACAGGCGTGAGCCACTGTGCCCAGCCACTACTAGGTTTTAGAAGGGTATGACTAATTCAACTTCTCTCAGATTTCTGGTAAGAAGCAGGGACCTTGTCAAGGCAATTACTAAAAAACAGTAGATAGGCTTCAGCAACCCAGCTCAGCTGACTCCATATCTGTGTGTATGTCCCACTGAAGCAAGAATTCAGAAGAGATAGATCTATAGAAACCTCCCTGTATCTTCTCCATAACTTCTAACTTGGGGTCAAAACATTTGCACTCCCACTAGGTCTTTGAAGGCAAGTAAATCATACAATAGAATACCCCAACTATAAAAATTCTGTGGACCATTTTCTAAAGGCCACTGAAAAACTGACAAATTTAAAGCAATTGTTAACCCTCCTGTAAAGATACACATGTGGAAATCTTAAAGGACCCCAAACAAAGGAAGGGAGAAAGGACAAGCTATCAAAATGACACCATGTTTAACAAAATGATGAAAATTTTAAGAAAATACATAAATATATACTTCTAAGATAGTGGCAATATAAAAGTAGGAATGTGAAACTTACCTTAAGAAATCAATAGTAAATTTTGTTTTGCAAATAAACTAATACAAATGTCAAATGTCCTGTTCACAAGAATGGAATAGAAGTCAATTCAATTAGTCATTTTTCATTTAGGAGCAGAACATAGGAAAGAAAAGCAGAAAGGTGAGTTTAGAGATAATGAAGCTGAATGAGAAACACAAAATATTAGGAAACAAACAATTTATGTAAAATCAGTTAATGCGGCTCCTATCCCAATTAAAGACTCCCTGAGTTAGTAGTGCATTAAAAATGCAATTTCCTGGCTGGGTGTGGGGCTCATGTCTGTAATTCCAGCACTTTGGGAGGCCGAGGAGGGTAGATCATGAGATCAGAAGTTCAAGACCAGCCTGGCCAACATGGGGAAACCCGTCTCTACTAAAAATACAAAAATTAGCCAGGCGTGGTGGTGCACACCTGTAGTCCCAGCTACTCAGGAGGCTGAGGCAGGAGAATTGCTTGAACCCGGGAGGCAGAGGTTACAGTGAGCCGAGATCGTGCCACTGCACTCCAGCCTGGGCGACAGAGTGAGACTCTGTCTCAAAAAATAAAAATAAAAAAATGCAATTTCCCATTTTCCCCTAAATATCTCTCACCCTAGGTTATAACTGACATATCAAGGAAGTGAATACAGGGAACCGAGAAAGGGGACAAGATATAGAAGGAAAAAACAGGATCCAAAGGAATAAAAGAATAAGCTGAAAAATTGATCAAAATATTCAGTTTTATATTTGATGAGATTCCTTTACTCTCCCCCTTAAAAACAATCAGGAATAGGAAAAAAACAACTAGTGTTCCTACACTCTACTTGAGAAGTTCCAATTGTGGTTTTGAAGAAATACAAGCCTGTAATCTTAGTGTTTCAGGAATAAAGACACTCTTATCTATCATCATCCAGAAGCTTGAGCACTTGCCAAGACCGGGAAGTCAAACCTGAGATGCCACACTACAGATTATACACGTTGTAAGCTAGGTCTCAATAAATTTTCTATTCAAATCTTTATTAAGTTTCTCTCTTCAAAAATTAAAAACTCACAGTGTTAAGTTTCTATGAATCTCTCCACATCTTAATCCATGTTTATATAAAAATATATGCAAATATGAGTATATGTAGGAATTTTTTTCTAAAAATAGGGTCAAACTATATACATAATTCTGCAACTTGTCTTCTTCGCCTAACAATACATCATGGGCAACACATCAATCTAACATTTTAATAGCACAGCATCCAGTAGTGTGAATGAATTACTGCTTATTCAACCATTTCCTTAAAGATAGACATTTAGCTTGTTTCCAACCTTTTGCCTTTGGCTAAATGATTCTGCCATTGCCAAATGATACTGCAATACACATCTCTATATATGATCAGGATTTTATTTCTCTAGGATAGATTTCCAGAAGTAGAACTGCCAGATCAAAAGAAATGTGTATTTTAATGTTAATAGATATTACCTAATTCCTTTTCCCCAAATTTGTAATAATTCATATTCCTACAGGAAGATATGAGAGTCCTATCTTCCCCATACTTGCACTGGTGCTGGAAGCGGTAGCTATTTTTAATCTTTGTCTATTGAGAAAAGTGGTATCTAACTGTTTCTTTAATTGTATTTTCCTGACTACTAGTGAGACTGAACATTTTTTCATAAGTTTAATCGTATTTTGAATTTTCTCTCCTGTGATTTAATTGCTTTTCAAACTGGTGGTTTGCCCTTTGTCTTACTCAGTTTTATGTGTTTTTGCATATTAAGTTTTTATCTGCCATTTGTGTTGAAAATGTTTTCCCAATCTACTCATTCTTTCTCTACATCCAATTCATCAACCTGTACCCTAAAATTATATCTTGAATCTGACTACTACTCATCTCCTTCATCAAGAAGTCCAAACCATCGCCATACCTCACCTGCATTGCTGTGCCTGCTTCCAAACTGAGCTTCCCAATCCCACTCCCCACTCCCAACGGAATCGTGCTTTCAAAATATAAATCAGATGAAGTCACTTCTCTACTCAAAACTCTCCAAAGACCAACCCCCATCAGCGTAAAAATTGCAAAGTTGTTTTTTTGTTTCTTTGTTTGTTAGTTTGAGATAGGGTCTCGAGCTGTTGCCCAGGCTGGAGTGCACTGGCATGATCACAGCTCACTGCAACCTCAACCTCCCAGGCTCAAGCAATCCTTCCATTTGGCCTCCTGAGTAGTTGGGACTACAAATGCACGCCACCATGCCCAACTAATTTTTTATTTTTTAGGTTTGCTAGAGATGAGGTCTTATGTTGCCCAGGCTGGTCTCAAACTCCTGGGCTCAAGCAAACCTCCCGCCTCAGCCTCCCAAAGTGCTGGGATTAGGCTGAGCCACCAGGCCCAGCTTCATGAAAGTTCTTATCCTGGCCTTGAAGGCCTTACAGTATCTAGCTTCTGGCTTCTCCTCTAGCCTCATCACCCACTCTCCATCTCCCTTCCATTGATGCAGCCACACTGGCCTCCTCATTTCTCCTCATGCCTGCCAAGCATGTTCTTGCTTCAGAATCAGCCTGAACACTCCCCCTCAAACATATGCACTACTCAATTATTTTAAGAAATATGCTTAAATTTGACTACCCTAAGTAAAACAGTACCCCCCATTCTCTATCTCTTTGCCCTGATGTATCTTTATTACTAGCATTTATCACCTGACATCATATATTTATTTTTGTTTATTGACTTTCTGCCCCACAAGAATGTAAACTCTAAGGGACTTTGTTCACTGCTGAATCTCCATGCTTAGAAAAGTGCCTCGCACATAGTAGATGCTCATCAAAGATTTGTTAACTGACATGAAGTAGATTAAATGAAGGTACATTTTACTATACAAAAATATATTTCATCTAGTCAAATATGTCTGCCTTATCCTCGGAAACTTCTGGGCTTTCTAAAGGGTCTCTTTGGAATGCATATACATGATTAATGAGAATGTAAGTTAGTTCAGCCACTGTGGAAAGCAGTTTGGATATTTCTCAAATAACTAAAAGAACTACCATTTGGCCCAGCAATCCCATTACATATATATATATAACACTCAAAGAAAAATTATTCTACCAAAAAGACACGTGCGTTCATATGTTCATCGCAGTGCTATTCACAATAGCAAAGACACGGAATCAACTTAGGTGCCCATCAGTAGTGGACTGGATAAAGAAATGTGGTACATATATACCATGGAATACTACCCAGCCATTAACAAGAATGAAATGTCCTTTGCAGCCACACAGATGCAGCTGGAGGCCATTATCCTATGCTAATTAACACAGAAACAAAACCAAATACAGCTTGTTCTCACAAGTGGGAGCTAAACATTGGGTACACATGAACATAAAGATGGGAACAATAGATACTGGAGACAAGAAGAGAGGGGAAGAAGAGAGGAGGATGAGGGTTGAAAATCTACCTGTTGGCTACTATGCTCACTACCTGAGTGACAGGATCATTCATATTCCAAACCTCAGCATTATACAATACTCACAGGTAACAAACCTCCACATGTACTTGCTGAATCTAAAATAAAGTTGAAAAAATAAAATAAAATAAATAAATAAATAAATAAATAAATGGTCTCCTTGACTACTATGGTACACATATTTATAGTCACTTAATTTTTTTCTCTTTTATAATTTTTATTTTCTATTTCTCTTCAATTAAATATTTAATCCATTTTGTTTATGGTGTGAACAGAGGTTTCACTTTTTTTCCTTCTTGACAGATATCAAATTATATCAGTAGCATTTGTAGAATCAATTATTCTTTTTCCCCTAAATCATGCATTCTCAACAGGGGCCACATTGCCCTCCAAGGGTCAAAAACGAGTTCTGGGTGGATCAAGAAATCCAATGATTTATTGCGATTTATTCTTTTCAGGTATAAATCACAGATGTTCAGTATCCTAAGACTTTGCTGAAGTTGCTTATCAGCTTATGTATAAAGTACATAAGCAGATATATAGACAATAAAATACACAAGCAGATATACAGTATATTGGTAATATTACAATTTTGTAAAGTGAGGCAATTAGGATAAAAACGTCATATCATACTGCTTTGATTATACAGGGTATATAGAAAGTTTGAGTATCTATTAAGCATGTCTCATTCTGCTCTTTGTTCTTTGTTTTCTTGGCTCTTTTGGAATATGTTCCACCACATGAACTTTAATTTTACCTGACTCCCCTCTAAAAAAAATAGCATTCTGGCTGAAAATGAGTTAACTATTTGGAGATATTTGACATTATTGTTATTACTGAAGTCACTTCACCCAGAAATGTTGTATGAGTCTTCATTGGTTTAGGTCTTCATATTGGTGCTTTCACAAGACTTTACAATTGGTGCTTTCTGAAAAGTTTACAGACTTCTTCATATTAGTTCTTGTTATATTTACTCCTAGGTACCTATAATGTTTTGTTGTCATTGTAAGTGTGATTTTTACATTTTTTTAATTAATTTTAACAAGTGTAGAGAAAAGTAATCTTTGTATTTATCTTGATTAATGTGACATCAGACTCTCATATCATTACTAATAATTTTCTGGCCATTTCTTGGATTTCTTAGTATACTGTGTAAAGAGATACAATTTTGCTTCATACAATTTACATTTATGCATTTTTAGTATTTGTTCTGTGTGTATAGAATCCAGCTTTTTCCAGGAGAATAATTTCTTTTATTAATTTTAATGATATTCTTTCTTTCTTTTTGTATTATTATACTTTAAGTTCTGGGATACATGTACAGAACGTGCAGGTTTGTTACATAAGTATTCACGTGCCATGGTGGTTTGCTGCACCCATCAATTTGTCATCTAGGTTTTAAGCCCCACCTGCATTAGGTATTTGTCCTAATGCTCTCCCTCCTCTTGCCCCTCACACCCTGACAGGCCCTGGTGTGAGATATCCCCGTCCCCGTGTCCATGTGTTGTCATTGTTCAACTCCCACTTATGAGCAAGAACATGCAGTGTTTAGTTTTCTGTTCCTGTGTTAGTTTGCTGAGAATGATGGTTTATAGCTTCATCCATGTTCCTGCAAAGAACATGAACTCATTCTTTTTTATGACTGCATAGTATATATGTGCCACATTTTCTTTATCCAGTCTATCATTGATGGGCATTTGGGTTGGTTCCAAGTCTTTGCTATTGTAAATAGTGCTGCAGTAAACATACGTGTGCATGTGTCTTTATAGTAGAATGATTTATAATCCTTTGGGGATATACCCAGTAATGGGATTGCTGGGTCAAATGGTATTTCTGGTTCTAGATCCTTGAGGAATCACCACACTGTCTTCCACAATGGTTGAACTAATTTACACTCCCATCAACAGTGTAAAAGTGTTCCTATTTCTCCACAGCCTCTCCAGCATCTGTTGTTTCCTGACTTTTTAATGATTGCCATTCTAACTGGCATAAGATGGAATCTCATTGTGGATTTGATTTGCATTTCTCTAAGGACCAGTGATAATGAGCTTTTTTCATATGTTTCTTGGCCACATAAATGTCTTCTTTTGAGAAGTGTCTGTTCATATCCTTTGCCCACTTTTTGATGAGGTTGTTTTGTTTTCTTGTAAATTTGTTAAGTTCCCTGTAGGTTCTGGATATTAGACCTTCCTCAGATGGATAGATTGCAAAAATTTTCTCCCATTCTGTAGGCTGCCTGTTCACTCTGATGACAAGTTTCTTTTGCTGCGCAGAAGCTCTTTGGTTTAATTAGATCCCATTTGTCAATTTTGGCTTTTGTTGCCATTGCTTTTGGTGTTTTAGTCATGAAATCTTTTTTGCCCATGCCTATGTCCTGAATGGTATTGCCTAGGTTTTTTTCTAGAGTTTTTACGGTTTTAGGTTTTCTGTTTAAGTCTTTATTCAGGTAATTTTGTATAAGGTGTAAGGAAGGGGTCCAGTTTCAGTTTTCTGCATATGGCTAGCCAGTTTTCCCAACACCATTTATTAATTAGGGAATCCTTTCCCCATTGCTTGTGTGTGTCAGGTTTGTCAAAGATCAGATGGTTGTAGACATGTGGTGTTATTTCTGAAGCCTCTCTTCTGTTCTATTGGTCTATATATCAGTTTTGGTACCAGTCCCATGTTCTTTTAGTTACTGTAGCCTTATAGTATAGTTTGAAGTCAGGTAGCATGATGCCTCCAGCTTTGTTCTTTTTGCTTAGGATTGTCTTGGCTATATGGGCCCTTTTTTTGGTTCCATATGAAATTTGAAGTCGTTTTTTCTAATTCTGTGAAGAAAGTCAATGGTAGCCTGATGGGAATAGCATTGAATCTATAAATTACTTTGGGCCATATGGCCATTTTCACAATATTGATTCTTCCTATCCACGAGCATGGAATGTTTTTCCACTTGTTTGTGTCCTCTCTTATTTCCTTGAGCAGTGGTGTGTAGTTCTCCTTGAAAAGGTCCTTCACATCCCTTGTAAGTTGTATTTCTAGGTGTTTTATTCTCTTTGTAGCAATTGTGAGCTCACTCATGATTTGGCTCTCTTTGTCTATTATTGGTATATAGAATGCTTGTGATTTTTGCACATTAATTTTGTATCCTGAGACTTTGCTGAAGTTGCTTATCAGCTTAAGAAGTTTTGGGGCTGAGACGATGGAGTTTTCTAAATATACAATCATGTCATCTGCAGACAGAGACAATTTGACTTCCTCTCTTCCTATTTGAATACTCTTTATTGCTTTCTCTTGCTTGATTGCCCCGGCCAGATTTTCCAACACTATGTTGAACAGGAGTGGTGAGAGAGGGCATCTTTGTCTCGTGCTAGTTTTCAAATGGAATGCTTCCAGCTTTTGCTCATTCAGTATATTAGCTATGGGTTTGTCACGAATAGCTCTTATTAGTTTGAGATATGTTTCATCAATACCTAGTTTATTGAGTGTTTTTAGCATGAAGGGGTATCAAATTTAATCGAAGGCCTTTTCTGTATCTATTGAGATAATCATGTGGGTTTTGTCATTGGTTCTGTTCATGTGATGGATTATGTTTATTGATTTGCGTATGTTGAACCAGCCTTGCATCCCAGGGATGAAGTCGACTTGATCACGGTGGATAAGCTTTTTGATGTGCTGCTGGATTCAGTTTGCATGTATTTTACTAAGGATTTTTGCATCAATCTTCTTCAGAGATATTGGCCTGAAACTTTCTTTTTTTGTTGTGTCTCTGTTAGGTTTTGGTATCAGGATGACGCTGGCCTCATAAAATGAGTTAGGGAGGAGTCCCTCTTTTTTTATTGTTTGGAATAGTTTCAGAAGGAATGGTACCAGCTCCTCTTTGTACCTCTGGTAGAATTCGCCTGTGAATCCGTCTGCTCCTGGGCTTTTTTGGGGGGTAGTAGGCTATTAATTATTGCCTCAATTTCAGAACTTGTTACTGGTCTATTCAGGGATTCAACTTCTTCCAGGTTTAGTCTTGGGAGAGTGTATGTGTCCAGGAATTATTATTATTGTGTGGGAGTCTAAGTCTCTTTATAGGTCTCTAGGAACTTGCTTTATGAATCTGGGTGCTCCCGTATTGGGTGCATATATATTTAGGATAGTTAGCTGTTCTTGTTATATTGATCCCTTTACCATTATGTGATGCCCTTCTTTGTCTTTTTGATCTTTGTTTGTTTAAAGTCTGTTTTATCAGAGACTAAGATTGCAACCCCTGCTTTTTTTTTTCTTTCCATTTGCTTGTTAAATATTCCTCCATCCCTTTATTTTGAACCTATGTGTATCTTTGCACATGAGATGGGTCTCCTGAATACAGCACACTGATGGGTCTTGACTATTTATCCAATTTGCCAGTCTGTGTCTTTTAACTGGGGCATTTAGCCCATTTACATTTAAGGTTAATATTGTTATGTGTGAATTTGATCCTGTCCTCCTGGTGCTAGTTGGTTATTTTGCATATTAGTTGGTGCAGTTTCTTCATAGTGTCGTTGGTCTTTATATTTTGGTGTGTTTTTGCAGTGGCTGGTACTGGTTTTTCCTTTCCATATTTAGTGCTTCCTTCAGGAGCTCTTTTAAGGTAGGCCTGGTGGTGACAAAATCCCTCAGCACTTGCTTGTCTGTAAAGGATTTTATTTCTCCTTCCCTTATGAAGCTTAGTGTGGCTGGATATGAAATTCTGAGTTGAAAATTATTTTCTTTAAGAATACTGAGTATTGGCCCCCACTCTTTTCTGGCTTATAGGGTTTCTGCAGAGAGAGCCAATGTTAGTCTAGTGGGCTTCCCTTTATAGGTAACCTGACCTTTCTCTCTGGCTGCCCTTAACATTTTCTCCTTCATTTCAACCTTGGAGAATCTGAAGATTTTGTGTCTTGGGGTTGCTCTTCTCGAGGAATATCTTTGTGGTGTTCTCTATATTTCCTGAATTTGAATGCTGGCCTGTCTTGCTAAGCTGGGGAAGTTTTCCTGGATAACATCCTGAAGCTTGTTTTCCAACTTGGTTCCATTCTTCCTGTCACTTTCAGGTACACCGATCAATCGTAGGTTTGGTCTTTCCACATAGTCCCATATTTCTTGGAGGCTTTGTTCATTCCTTTTCATTTTTTTTCTCTAATCTTGTCTTCACACTTTATTTCATTAAATTGATCTTCAATTTCTGATATCCTTTCTTCCACTTGATCAATTTGGCTATTGATACTTGTGTACACTTCACGAAGTTCTTGTGCTGTGTTTTTTCACCTCCATTAGGTCATTTATGTTCTTCTCTAAACTAGTTATTCTAGTTAGCAGTTCCTGTAACCTTTTATCAAGGTTCTTAGTTTCCTTGCATTGGGTTTGAACATGCTCCTTTAGCTCAGAGGAGTTTGTTATTACCCACTTTCTGAAGCCTACTTCTGTCAGTTCGTCAAACTCATTCTCTGTCCAGTTTTGTGCTCTTGCTGGAGAGGCATTGCAATCATTTGAAGGAGAAGAGGCATTCTGGTTTTTGGAATTTTCGGCATTTTTGCACTGGTTTTTCCTCATCTTTGTGGATTTATCTACTTTTCATCTTTGATGTTGATGACCTTGGATGTGGTTTTTGTGTGGGCATCCTTTTTTTTGTTGATGTTGATGTTATTGCCTTTTTTTTTTTTTTTTTTTTTTTGAGACAAAGTCTCGCTCTGTTGCCCAACCTGGAGTGCAGCGGCGTGATCTCGGCTCACTGCAACCTCCACCTTCCAGGTTCGAGTGATTCTCCCACCTCAGCCTCCCAAGTAGCTGGGACTACAAGTGCGCGCCACCATGCCCAGCTACTTTTTGTATTTTTAGTAGAAACAGGGTTTCACCATATTGGCTAGGCTGGTCTCAAACTCCTGACCTTGTGATTTGCCTGCCTCAGCTTCCCAAAGTTCTGGGAATAAACCACCATGCCCAGCTGATGTTATTGCTTTCTGTTTTTTGGTTTTCCTTCTAACAGTCAGGACCCTCTTCTGCAGGCCTGCTGGAGTTTACTGGAGGTCCACTATACACCCTATTTGCCCGGGTATCACCAGTGGAGCCTGCAGAACAGCAAAGATTGCTGCCTGTTCCTTCCTCTGGAAGCTTCATCTCAGAGGGCACCAGTCTGATGCCAGCCAGAGCTCTCCTGTATGAGGTGTCTGTCAACCACTGATGGGAGGTGTCTTCCAGTTAGGAGGCATGGGGGTCAGGGACCCACTTGAGGAGGCAGTCTGTCCCTTAGCAGAGCTCAAGCACTGTGCTGGGAGATCTGCTGTTCTCTTCAGAGCTGGCAGGCAGGAATGTTTAAGTCTGCTGAAGCTGCTCCCACAGCCGCCCCTTCCCCCAGGTGCTCTGTCCCAGGAAGATGGGAGTTTTACATATAAGCCCCTGACTGGGGCTGCCTTTCTTTCAAAGATGCCCTGCCCATTGAGGAGGAATCTAGAGAGGCAGTCTGGCCACAGCTGCTTTGCTGCACTGCAGTGAATTCTGCAAAGTCCGAACTTCCCAGTGGCTTCCTTAACACTGTGAGGGGAAAACCACCCACACAAGCCTCAGTAATGGCGGGCGCCCCTCCCCACATCAACCTGGATTGTCCCAGGTCGACTTCAGACTGCTATGCTGGCAGTGAGAATTTCAAGCCAGTGGTTATTAGCTTGCTGGGCGCTGGGGGAGTGGGACCCACTGAGCGAGACCACTTGGCTCCCTGGCTTCAGCCCCCTTTCCAGGGGAGTGAATGGTTCTGTCTTGCTGGGGTTCCAGGTGCCACTGGCCTATGAAAAAAAAAATTGCAGCTAGCTCGGTGTCTGCCCAAACAGCCACCCAGTTTTGTGCTTGAAACCCAGCACCCTAGTGGTGTAGGCACACAAGGGAATCTCCTGGTCTGTGGGTTGCAAAAACCATGGGAAAAGCATAGTATCTGGTCCAGATAGCACAGTCCCTGGTCCGGATAGCACAGTCCCTCACGGCTCCCCTTGGCTAGAGGAGGGAGGTCCCCAGCTCCTTGCACTTCCCAGGTGAACCAACAACCCACCCCACTTCTGCTCACCCTCCATGAGCTGCACCTACTTTCTAACCAGTCCCAATGAGATGAACTGGGTACCTCAGTTGGAAATGCAGAAATCACCCGCCTTCTGCATTGGTCTCACTGGGAGCTGCAGACCAGAGCTGTTCCTATTCAGCCATCTTTCCCAGGAACTTCCAGTATTCTTTATTTCAAATAGTAATTTCTGATTTAAATTCTATTTTAAATAATAGCTTTTTGGTTAATATTTTCCTCTGCTTTGTCTTTCTCTATTATTTTACTTTTCAAATTCCAATAAGTCTTGTGAATAGAAAATAACTGGATCCTTTTTCCCTGTCTTAGAGTATAGATCTTTTAAGGGGCAAGTTTAAACCATTTGTATTTATGATGATTACTGATTTACTCAGTTTTGTTTATGACACCTTACCAAGTGCTTTCCATATTGCATAATTTTACAGTACTATTCCACTGTCTTTGCTATTGTTGTCTGATATTTTCATTCTGCTACATTTATGCACCCCAAAATTAGTCATGATAAAATTATTTTTATAGTCTGTGTTTTTCAGATATATTCATATATTTACCAATATTGCTCACTATTTCTCTTTGTATCTTAATCCTTGCTTTGTGGTTTGATTTTTTTGTTTTTTGGTTTTTAGTTTTTTTGTGTGAGACAGGCTCTCTCATTCTGTCACCCAAGATAGGGCGCAGTAGTGCAATCTCAGCTCACTGCAACCTCCACCTCCCGAGTTCAAGCGATTCTCCCACCTCAGCCTCCCGAGTATCTGGGACTACAGATATGTGCCACCATACCCAGCTAATTTTTCTATTTTTAATAGAAACAGGGTTTCACCATGTTGGCCAGGCTGGTCTCGAACTCCTGACCTCAAGTGATCTGCCTGCCTTGGCCTCCCAAAGTGTTGAGATTACCAGTGTGAGCCATCGCACCCCGCCTGTGGTTTCATTTTTAAATGAGGATCTGTGAATAATAAATTCTTGGACTTTTGCCAGAAAAATTAACTTCGCCTTCATTGTAAAATAACAGTTTTGCTGAATAAGGAACTCAATGTATTTTCTCAGCTAATTGAAGATGTTATCCATTGCCTTTTGGCCTTTGTTTTTGCTCTTAAGAAGTCTGCTTAATACCTAGTTAGTTTGCAGGTTATTTTGTCTTTTTCTGTCTGGTAATATTTAGAATTTTGTCTTTGTCTTGGTGTTACACAGTTTCACTACTATGTGTCCAGTCCATTTTCATTATTCCTGCTTTAGGAGGGTGCATCTTAAAACTTTACAGTAATGTCTTTCATCAATTTTGAAAAATTCTTAAGCATTCTTTCTTTGAACTTTGCTTTTCCTCCATGCTTTCTATATTCTCTTTCTGGAATTCAAATGTATTTTGGATCTTCTCATTCTAGTCTCTATTTCTGTTAACCTTGTTTTTATGTATTTTTAAGTCTGTCTGCAATGCAGTATAGACAACTTCCTCAAGTCTACCTTCCAATTCACTGATTTTCTTTTCAGTGTCTAATGTCCTGATTAGCCTATTGAGTTTTAGCCAATTACTAATATTTACTGTTTCTAAAATTACGATTTGCTTCTCCTAATATTTGTTCATAGTCTCATCTATGTGTATGTGTTATTATCACCCAAAGTTCATAGTTTAAGATTTATATTTTCAGGTATCTTTATAGCAATGCCCCACTTCCCAGTACCAATTTTCTGTGTTAGTCCGTTCTCACATTGCTATAAAGAAATGCCTGAAACTGGGTAATTTATAAAGAAAAGAGGTTTAATTGGCTCACAGTTCTGCAGGCTGTACATGTTCTGGGGAGGCCTCAGGAAACTTACAATCATGATGGAATGTGAAGGGGAATCAGGCAATATCTTACATGGCTGGAGCAGGAGGAAGAGAGAGAAGGGGGAGGTGCTGCACACTTTTAAACAACCAGATCTCGTGAGAACTCAGTATCATAAGAATGGCAAAGGGGAACTCCACCCCCTTGATCCAATCACCTCCCACCAGGCCCCTCCTCCGACATTGGGGATTAAAATTTGACATAAGATTTGGGCAGGGACACAAATCCAAACCATATCAGGGCCTATGCCCATAAAATCAGCAGGAAGCAGTTACAGAAGATGGACCTCCACCCTTCTTCAGCCCCCTTAAGATTAAGGAGGAGTATCTAATATCTGAGGGGGGAATGAGGTAGGAGACTGGCAGGACTTATTTCCTAGTACTGACAGGATAAGTGAAAAAAACAGCAGAAACTAGCAGATGGTAACAAAAGCAATCCCTAGTTGCCCCCACTACTCATTAGTATAAGACACCAGCACCATGACGGTTTTCAAATGCCATGGTAAGGACCCAGAAGTTATTGCCCCTTCCCATGACAATGACCGAGAAGTTACCACCCCTTTCCTAGAAAGCTTTAAATAAACTACTCCTCAATTTGCATTAACCCACCACTGATTGGCATATGATTGAAAGTGGGTATAAGTGGGTATAGAGTTGCCAACAGTCCATTCATTGCCAACTTGGCACATTATCTATGAGTTAGCCCTGCTCTGCAAGGAGCAATAAAGTTCAATAAAAGATTGCTGTCTAAAACCACTGGCTTGCCCTTGAATTCATTCCTGGGCAAAGTCAAGAACTTTCCTGGGCTAAGCTCTAATTTTGGGGCATGTCTGTCCTGCATCAAATGGATAAAGAAAATGTGATATATATATATATATATATATATATATATGTGTATGTATGTAGTGGAATACTATTCAGCTTTTAAAAAACAAGGAAATTCTGTCATTTGTGACAACATGGATGAACCTGGAGGACATTATGTTAAGTGAAATGTAAGGCACAGAAAGATAAATACCACATGATCTCACTTATATGTGGAATCTTAAAAAGTTGAACGAAGAAGCAGAGAGTAGAATGGTGGTTACCAGGTACTGGGAGCAGGGAAATGGGGGACAGAAAATGGGGGAATTGGGGAGTTGTTTGTCAAAGGATACAAAATTTAGTTTCATAGAATAAATAAGGAAGTCAGAATATCTATTTTATAACATGGAGACTATAGTTAAAACAACATTATTGTATTCTTGAAAAATCACTGAGTAGATTTTAAGTGTTCTCATCATAAAAAAAGGATAAGTATATGAGCTGATATATGTTAATTAGCATGATTTAGCATTCTGTGATGTATACGTATTTCAAGACATCATGTTATACATGATAATTGTATACAATTTTTATTTGTCAGTTTAAATATATAAATTTTAAAATAAAGTACTCACATCAGGGATATATTTGTATTTTCTAAGTAACAACAATAACAATTTAAAATGCATAATACAAAACTAACAAAGGCTGATCATAGAATAATTTATAAAAATCATTCCAAAAGGAGGCCAAGAGGCCAGATGCAGTGGCTCATGCCTATAATCCTGGCACTTTGGGAGGCAGAGGCGAGTGGATTCCTTGAGCCCAAGAGTTCAAGGCCAGCCCAAGCAACATAGCAAAACCCCATCTCTACAAAAAATACAAAAATTAGCTGAGCATGTTGGTGTGCACCTGTAGCCCCAGCTACTCGGGAGGCTGAGGTGGCAGGATGACTTGAGCCTGGGAGGTGGAGGTTGCAAGAGAGACCACACCACTGCACACCAGCCTGGGTAACAGAGCCAGATGCGGTCTCAATAAACAAATAGGAGGCCAAAAACATAAGAAAACATATAATACAAAACAGGTGAAAAAATAGAAAACGAGCAATAAAATAATCTTAGACCCATATATATCAATCAATAATTCCATTAATTATAAATGGACTAAATGGCCACATTTTATTTGTTTTTACTTAAGTTTTTATTTATTTATTTATTATTTCCATAGGTTTTAGGGGGACAGGTGGTATTTGGTTACACTAGTAAGTTCTTTAGCGGTGATTTGTGACACTTTGATGCACCCATCACCCAAGCAGTATACAGTGAACCCAATTTGTAGTCTTTTATCCCTCACTCCCTTCCCACCCTTTCCCACTGAGTCCCCAATATCATTCTTATGGCTTTGCATCCTCATAGTTTAGTTCCCACTTATGAGTGAGAACATATGATGTTTGGTTTTCCATTCCTGAGTTACTTCACTTAGAATAGTGTCCAATCCCATCCAGATTGCTGCAAATGCCATTAATTCATTCCTTTTTATGGCTGAGTAGTATTCCACCATATATATATGCCATAGTTTCCTTGTCTATTCGTTGACTGATGGGTATTTGGGTTGGTTCCACATTTTTGCAGTTGTAACTTGTGCTGCTATAAACATGCATGTGCAAGTATCTTTTTTGTATAATGACTTATTTTGCTCTGGGTAGATACCCACTAGTGGCATTGCTCGATTGAATGGTAGTTCTACTTCTAGTTCTTTAAGGAATCTCCAAACTGTTTTCTATAGTGGTTGTACTAGTTTACATTCCCACCAGCAGTGTAGAAGTGTTCCCTGTTCACCGCATCTATGCCAACCTCTATTATTTTCTGATTTTTTTTTCAAAAAGAACATAAAACTTTATTAAGAACATCTTATACTGTCATCAGATACAGCCAAAGAAAAACGGGTAAACAAACAGGGAAAGTTCATCTTCCCATGTGCTATTGCCACCTCAGAACAGACTCCTGTGTAGATAGCTGGAACAACAGTTGGCAACAAATGCTCTGTATAAATAATTCATTAAGTACACAATGTTTCCTTTCTATACAGAGAAGAATTGGGCTTACAACTATGAAACAAGACTACATCTTTAGGAGCTATTTCTTAATAGAATACAAAGCAGTTTAGTAGCTGTATGTTATTTCAGATAATGTAATTTTTTAATGAAAAATTCAGAAAGGACATTCTAACTTTCCCAATTAGTTAATTTGTACTGTTGAGTTTTTTCTCTCTAAAGATTTCTCAGAATCAGTTCAGTAACTATACTTTAAAAAGATGAGTTGCTCATCTACAGTGATAATTGACAACTTAGTTTTGTGACTTTGCAAATCAAGATGCCTGGGTCATCCCCACTTTTGCTGATTCTGAAAGATTTCTTTAGAAAAACCCTGATTCAGAGAAGCAGGAGTAAGGTGGTATCACACTGTGGTTTTGATTTGCATTTCCCTGATCCTTAGTGATGCTGAGCATTTCTTCATATGTTTGTTGGCCATTTGTATATCTTCTTTTGAGAATTGTCTGTTCATGTCCTTAGCTCAATTTTTGATGAGATTGTTTCTTTCTTTCTTGCTAATTTGCTTGAGTTTGTTGTAGATTCTGGATATTAGTCCTTTGTCAGATGTATAGATTGTGAAGATTTTCTCCCACTCTGTGGGTTGTCTGTTTACTCTGCTGACTATTCCCTTTGCCATGCAAAAGCTCTTAAATTAAGTCCCAGCTATTTATCTTTGTTTTTATTGCATTTGCTTTTGGTTCTTGGTCATGAAATCCTTGCCTAAGCCAATGTCTACAAGGGTTTTTCCAATGTTACCTTCTAGAATTTTTATAGTTTCAGGTCTTAGATTTAAGTCCTTAGTCCTTCTTGAGTTGATTTTTGTATAAGGTGAGAGATGAGGATCCAGTTTCATTCTCCTACATGTGGCTTGCCAATTATCCTAGCACCATTTGTTGAATAGGGTGTCCTTTACCCACTTTATGTTTTTGTTTTCTTTGTCAAAGATCAGCTGGCTGTAAGTATTTGGGTTTATTTCTGGGTTCTCTATTCTGTTCCATTGGTCTTTGTCCCTATTTTTATACCAGTACTATCCTGTTTTGGTGACTATGGCCTTACAGTATAGTTTGAAATCAGGTAATGTGATGCCTCCAGATTTGTTCTTTTCCCTTAGCCTTGCTTTGGCTATTTGGGCTCTTCTTTGGTTCCATATGAATTTTAGGATTTTTTTTTCTAGTTCTGTGAAGAATGATGCTGGTATTTATATGGGAATTGCACTGAATTTGTAGATTGCTTTTGGCAGTATGGTCATTTTCACAATATTGATTCTACCCATCCACGAGCATGGGGTGTGTTTCCATTTGTTTGTGTCATCTATGATTGTTTTCAGCAGTGTTTTGTAGTTTTCCTTGTAGAGGTCTTTCACCTCCTTGGTTAGGTATATTCCTAAGTTTTTTTGATTGTGTGATTTGTTTGTTTGTTTGTTGCAGCTATTGTAAAAAGTGGTTGAGTTCTTGATTTGATTCTCAGCTTGGTCACTGTTGGTGTACAGGAGAGCTACTGATTTGTGTACATTAATTTTGTATCCAGGAAATTTGCTGAATTATTTTATCAGTTCTAGGAGCTTCTTGGAGGAGTCTTCTGGGTTTTCCAGGTATACAATCATATCATCAGCAAACAGTGACAGTTTGACTTCCTCTTTACCAACTTGGATGCCTTTATTCTTTCTCTTGTCTGATTGCTCTGGCTAGGACTTCCAGTACTATGTTGAAGTGGTGAAAGTGGGCATCCTTGTCTTGTTCCAATTCTCAGAGGGAATGCTTTCAACTTTTCCCCATTCAGTATTATGTTGGCTGTGCGTTTATCATACATGGTTTTTATTACATTGAGGTATGTCCCTTGTAGGCTGATTTTGCTGAGAGTTTTAATCATAAAAGGATGCTGCATTTTGTCAAATGCTTTTTCTGTGTCTATTGAGATGATCATGTGATTTTTGTTTTTAATTGTTTATGTGGTGTATTACATTTATTGACGTGCATATGTTAGACCATCCCTGCATCCCTGCTATGAAACCCACTTGATCATGGTGGATTATCTTTTTGATATGTTGTTGGATTTGGTTAGCTGGTATCTTGTTAAGGATTTTTGCATCTATGTTCATCAGGGATATTGGTCTTCAGTTTTCTTTTTTGTTGTTGTTATGTTCTTTTGTTCTTTCCTGGCTTTGGTATTAGGATGATACTGGCTTCATAAAATGATTTAGGGAGGATTCCTTCTTTCTCTATCTTGTGGAATAGTGTCAATAGGATTGGTACCAATTCTTCTTTGAATGTCTGGTAGAACTCAGTTGTGAATCCGTCTGGCCCTGGACTTTTTTTTTTGTAATTTTTTTATTACCATTTCAATCTTGCTGCTTGTTATTGGTCTGTTCAGGGTATCTAATTCTTCCTGATTTAAGGTAGGAGGGTTTTCTCTTCCCAGGAATGTATCGATCTCCTCCAGGTTTTCTAGTTTATGCACATAAAGGTGTTCATAGTAGCCTCAAATGATCTTTTGTATTTCTGTGGTGTCAGTTGTACTATCTCCCATTTCATTTCTACTTGAGCTTCTTTGGATTTTCTCTCTTCTTGGTTAATCTTGCCAATGGTCTATCAAGTTTATTTATCTTTTCAAAGAACCAGCTTTTTGTTTCACTTCTGTATTTTTTTGTTTCAATTTCATTTAGCTCTGCTCTGATCTGGGTTATTTCCTTTCTTCTGCTGGCTTTGGGCTTGGTTCTTGTTTCTCTAGTTCCTTGAGGTGTGACCTTAGGTTGTCTATTTGTGCTCTTTCAGACTTCCTGATGTAGGCATATAGGGCTAAGAACTTTCCTCTTAGCACCGCCTTTGCTGTATCCCAGAGGTTTTTGTAGGTCATGTCACTATTGTTATTCAGCTTGAATAATTTTTTAATTTTCATCTTGATTTCATTGTTGACCCAATGATCATTCAGGAGCAGGTTATTTAATTTCCATGTATTTGCGTGGTTTTAAAGGTTCCTTTTGGAGCTGATTTCCAGTTTTATTTCACTGTGGTCTGAGACAGTGCTTAACATAATTTCAGTTTTCTTAAATTTATTGAGACTTGTTTTGTGCTCTATCATGTGGTCTATCCTGGAGAAAGTTCCATGTGCTGAAGAATTGAACGTATATTCTGCAGTTGTTGGGTAAAATGTTCTGTATATATCTGTTAAGTCTATTTGTTCCAGGGCATAGTTTAAATTCATTGTTTTTTTGTTGGCTTTCTGTCTTAATGATCTGTCTAGTGCTGTCAGTGGCGTATTAAAGTCCCCCACTAGTATTGTGTTGCTGTATATATCATTTCTTAGGTCTAGTAGTAATTGTTTTATAAATTTGGGAGCGCCAGTGTTAGGTGCATATATATTTAGGATTGTGATATTTTCCTGTTGGACAAGAAATGCCACATTTTAAAAATAAAAATTATCAAACTGGATTAAATGGCAATATAAATGTCAGTTGATAGGATAGTTAATACTATACTCAACAATGTAATGAAGAGTAAGAAAGGGCTGGGCTTTGTGGCTCATGCCTGTAGTCCCAGCACTTTGGGAGGCCCAAGGGAAGAGGGGCTGGCTCTCACTCCCTGCATCGCGGGGGGTGCCTGAGATAAGGTGGATCACCTGAGATAAGGAGTTCAGACCAGTCTGGCCAATATGGTAAAACCCCGCCTCAACTAAAAATACAAAAAAATTAGCTGGGTGTGGTGGCGGGCACCTGTAATCCCAGCTACTTCGGGAGGCTGAGGCAGAAGAATCGCTTGAACTCAGGAGACAGAGGTTGCAGTGAGTCGAAGTCACGCCATTGCACTCCAGCCCGGGCGACAAGAGCGAAACTCTGTCTCAAAAAAAAAAAAGTAAGAAAGAACTCAAACTTATACGTAGTGATCATGACAATAAGGAATTTTGTCTGTGTGAGCTCTGAAAATTTTATAAAGTTTTTAAATATGGAGTTCATGCTTAGTGATTGAGTTATTTAATGTCAAATGATATCTAAGCATTTATTTTTAACATTTCATTAATCAAGTACACAATATGTATTTAAGGAATTATGATAAAGTAAACCAATCTTCTACCCATATCACTATACCTATTTGATTCATCAAAATTTGTCCTCCCTAAATTCCATGTTCTGCAATGTGTTTAGAAATAAATAGTAAGGCATGGCGCCACGCACCTGTAATTCCAGCTACTCAGGAGGCAGGGCAGGAGGATCACTTGAGCCTGGGAGTTTGAAGCCAGCCTAGGCAATATAGTAAGACCCTGTCTCAAAAATTAATTAATTAATTAATTAATTAATAATAACAAGTGGTAGCCTTGCTCTTGGTCAAAACATTGACTTTGGGCTGGGCGCGGTGGCTCACGCCTGTAATCCCAGCACTTTGGGAGGCCGAGATGGGCGATCACAAGGTCAAGAGATTGAGATCATCCTGGCTAACACGGTGAAACCTTGTCTCTACTAAACATACAAAAAAATTAGCCGGGCGTGGTGGCAGGGGTCTTTGGTCCCAGCTACTCAGGAGGCTGAGGCAGGAGAATGGCGTGAACCCGGGAGGTTGAGCTTGCAGTGAGCTGAGATCGCACCACTGCATTCCAGCCTGGATGACAGAGCGAGACTCTGTCTCAAAAAAAAAAAATTTTTGGCAGGGCACAGTGTCTCACGCCTGTGATCCCAGCACTTTGGGAGGCCAAGGTGGGCAGATCACAAGATCAGGAGTTCGAGACCAGCCTGGCCAACATGGTGAAACCCCATCTCTACTAAAATACAAAAATTAGACGGGTGTGGTGGTGCACGCCTGTAATCCCAGCTACTTGGGAGGCTGAGGCAGAAGAATTGTTTGAACCCAGGAGGCAGAGGTTGCAGTGAGCCAAGATCACGCCATTGCACTCCAGCCTGGGCAAGAGAGCAAGACTCCATCTTAGGGGAAAAAAAAAAAAAAAAGATTGACTTTGGTTTATTATTTGATCGAGTTTTTTCCATTAGTACATTACTTATCTATTTATCAGTTACTGGATACAAAAGTTTCTGGAACTGAGTTCCTCACAATTGTTCCTCATAATTGTTTGGATGTAGTCCATTCCAAATAATAACTATCTATTTAAGTCTATTAAGTCTATTTTTTTAAAAAAAGAAAACACCCCTGAATAGCAAAATGACTAACGAAAAATAATAAAATTATCTGAGATTAGTCGTAGATTTTTATCAGCTAAAAACAGAAGGAACTTCCAAACCAACAAAGAGTAGATTAAACAAAGGCAAAAATAAAATGAGAGAATAGAAAATGAGATGAAAAAAGAAGAAAAATTATAGCAGCCAAGTTTAATGAGGTGCTTTGCCAATCACTGAAATGTGTCTGTCCAGCCTAAGAAAAGTTGAAAAGAAAAAAATGGGCCGGGTGGGGTGGCTCACGCCTGGAATCCCAGCACTTTGGGAGGCCAAGGCAGGCGGATCACGAGGTCAGGAGATCGAGACCATCCTGACTAACACAGTGAAACCCCATCTCTACTAAAAATACAAAAAAAAAAAAAAAAATTAGCCAGGCATGGTGGCAAGCACCTGTAGTCCCAGCTACATGACAGGCTGAGGCAGGAGAATGGCGTGAGCCTGGGAGGTGGAGCTTGCATGAGTCGAGACCACACCACTGCACTCCAGCCTGGGTGACAGAGCAAGACTCTGTCTCAAAAAAAAAAAAGAAAAAAAGAAATCAGATGCATATCAGTGAACTTTACACCTTTCAGATCTATTCAATGGTGGACTGAATGACTGTGGAAAGAAACATCTTCTTTATCATATGAAGTACCCTGTGGTCCAGTGGCAATTCTGATGAAACCACACTGCTTTGTAACTTATGGACATCTTCATACACTAAATAAGAAAAATTACATTAAAACTAACCACCATCCAATCACTTTTGACTAGGTGTTAAAAGGACTCACATTCTACCTTTTATCCATCCGACAAGCTCCTACTTATTTGCGATTCAGGTCAAATGTCATCTCATTTGTAAAGTCTTCCTAAACACCTACTAAGGGAGACTGCCCTCCACACAGTTCCCAAACCACTTTTATATACCTCAATTATTCTCTGTTTATACGTTTACCCGCTTTACTAGATTCTGTGCACCTGGAGGTGAGAAACCAGATGTTTTTCGTCTTTGTTTCTCCAGAGTTAAGCTTAGCTGGTTCATGAAAATCATTCAAAAATTACTGAAAGAATCTCAGTCTTAAGAGGAAAAAAGTAAACAACTATCATATACAGTAACAAACAGCTTAGGAACAAAATATTACAGGAGGAATGATAATTTCACCCTAATAGAGTGCTGGGATACTTCACAAAAAGACGATATTTGATCTGCTTTGAAGAAGTCATAAGTTAGATGAAGCAAATAAAAGTGGATTTTAAAAGGTGAAATCAAGTCTATTCCAAGGAGTGAATATGAGCCAATGCCCAGAGGTAGGACAGCATGAAGGGTCTAACGAGAGTGAGTGGACAGGCCTTGCTGGACTATAAGTGAAAAGTAGTATCAGAAATGATATCAGAAAAGTAGATTGGGGCCCAATTGAGAAGTCCCTTGAATGCCATAGTAAATAAAGCTTTAATTATTTATCTTACAGACAATGTGGAGCCCTTGGTTTTAAAGAAGAGCATCAAAATTAAATTTCTTCTTTCAAAATTTTATTCTCCCCAGATTAACGAATATTATTCAAGTTATAGCTTCAGTTTCACCAAAGGTCATGTCTCAATCCTTCTCCTCTACAGGAAAGCAATTCTAAAAAAAAAAAAAAAAAAAGGGAAAAGAAAAACCTCAGATAAAACTGGTTTTGGTAGGACTACTCTCAGGCAGGACAGCATAAGATACAAGAATCAAATGACTGGCAATAGAAGACTTATTAAGATTAAAACTGTACTGGTCATCAGATAAGTGACTAGATCTGATTTGTTCAAATTAGAGTTTGTAATTTATTTTGAATACAAAGCAAGGCATGGTCATTTAAAAACATACAATACTAAAAAATGTAAAAAAAAAAAAGAGGGAAGTGAAAATTACTATAACCATCCTCATCCCTTAAAATGACTCTGCTATTAACATTTAAGTTAAATCATTAACTTTCTTCAATGCCTGAGTATACATACAGATAGATACTTCATTTTTCCAAGTAGATTTCAAACTTACATACCTGCATCTTTTCACTCAATATACCATGAAAATTTTTCCATAATAATATGTATCTATATAATATTTAATCAGTGCATAATTTATTTAAACACTCCCCTGTAGGTGGACTTTATCTTTTCATTTAAACCAACACTACAGTAAATGTATGTCTCTTTACACATTTATCTAAATTTTTCCTGAAGTTAAATTTCCAAAAAAGTAATTTCTGAATCAAAAGGTATCTGGTGCAGCAGCTGTAGAGACAGGGTGCAGAACCCCTGCCCTGCAATCACAAGGCAGTTTCTTCTCTATCCCAACTAAAGTATGTGGGGCTGGTAAGATTACAGAAAAAAGAGAAAGGAATATTCTGAATCTGTGTATGAAATTCTTGTGAGCAGTACATGTAAGAAACTAATCAGAGGCTGGGCGTGGTGGCACACACCTGTAGTCCCAGCTACTTCGGAGGCTGAGGCATGAGAATCACTTGAATCCAGAAGGTGGAGGTTGCAGTGAGCCGATATAGCGCCACTGCACTCCAACCTGGGTGACACACTTTTGCACTCAGTCTCAAAATAAATAAATAAATAAATAGGCCGGGCGTGGTGGCTCATGCCTGTAATCCCAGCACTTTGGGAGGCCAAGGCAGGTGGATCACGAGGTCAGGAGATCAAGACCATCCTGGCTAACATGGTGAAACCCCATCTCTACTAAAAATACAAAAATTAGCCAGGTGTGGTGGTGCGCACCTGTAGTCCCAGCTACTCGGGAGGCTGAGGAAGCAAAATCACTTGAATCCAGGAGGCAGAGGTTGCAGTGAGCCAAGATCGTGCCACTGCACTCCAGTCTGGGCAACAGAGCAAGACTCTGTCTCAAAAATAAATACATAATTTTAAAAAAATTTTAAAAACTGATCAGAAATGACATCCACAAAACCTGAGAACTTAACAGTGATGTGAAACATCACCAGGCTTCAGATTGACCTCTAAGTAGCACACAAGTAGGACAAGCCAGAATAGCACCATAAAGACTTTGAACACTAAATTAACATTTGCATCATGGCCCATAAACATGGGTCAAGACATGTGTTCTGAACCTAAACAAGTTGACTGCCTACTAAAACAGAAACGTTAAATAGAAACCAGGCCTCAATGCACCATATTCAAAATGTCCAACATATAAACAAAAAATCACCTGTCATTATCAAGAACCACAAAAATCTAAATAAGAAAATTCAAACAGTGTCAACACCAAGATGACACAGGTATTGCAATTATCTCACAAGTATTTTGCAGCAGCTATCATAAAAAATGTTCCAACAAGCAATTATGAATAACTTCGAAATTATTTTTAATGGAACATCTTAGCAACAAATATAAAATATAAGAAAGAAGCATTTAAGTCTTTAATCCATCTTGAATTAATCTTTGTATAAGGTGTAAGGAAGGGATCCATTTTCAGCTTTCTACATATGGCTAGCCAGTTTTCCCAGCACCATTTACTAAATAGGGAATCCTTTCCCCATTTCTTGTTTTTGTCAGGTTTGTCAAAGATCAGATAGTTGTAGATATGTGGCATTATTTCTGAGGGTCTATATCTCTGTTTTGGTACCAGTACCATGCTGTTTTGGTTACTGTAGCCTTGTAGTATAGTTTGAAGTCAGGTAGCGTGATGCCTCCAGCTTTGTTCTTTTGGCTTAGGACTGACTTGGCAATGTGGGCTCTTTTTTGGTTCCATATGAACTTTAAAGTAGTTTTTTCCAATTCTGTGAAGAAAGTCATTGGTAGCTTGATGGGGATGGCATTGAATCTATAAATTACCTTGGGCAGTATGGCCATTTTCACGATATTGATTCTTCCTACCCATGAGCATGGAATGTTCTTCCATTTGTTTGTATCCTCTTAAATGTTAGACCTAAAACCATAAAAACCCTAGAAGAAAACCTAGGCAACACCATTCAGGACATAGGCATGGGCAAGGACTTCATGTCTAAAACACCAAAAGCAATGGCAACAAATGCCAAAATTGACAAATGGGATCTAATTAAACTAAAGAGCTTCTGCACAGCAAAAGAAACTACCATCAGAGTGAACAGGCAACCTACAGAATGGGAGAAAATTTTTGCATCTACTCATCTGACAAAGGGCTAATATCCAGAATCTACAATGAACTCAAACAAATTTACAAGAAAAAAACAAACAACCCCATCAACAAGTGGGCGAAGGATATGAACAGACACTTCTCAAAAGAAGACATTTACACAGCCAAAAGACACATGAAAAAATGCTCATCATCACTGGCCATCGGAGAAATGCAAATCAAAACCACAATGAGATTCCATCTCACACTAGTTAGAATGGCAATCATTAAAAAGTCAGGAAACAACAGGTGCTGGAGAGGATGTGGAGAAATAGGAACACTTTTACACTGTTGGTGGGACTGTAAACTAGCTCAACCATTGTGGAAGTCAGTGTGGCGATTCCTCAGGGATCTAGAACTAGAAATACCATTTGACCCAGCCATCCCATTACTGGGTATATACCCAAAGGATTATAAAACGTGCTGCTATAAAGACACATGCACACGTATGTTTATTGTGGCACTATTCACAATAGCAAAGACTTGGAACCAACCCAAATGTCCAACAATGATAGACTGGATTAAGAAAATGTGGCACATATACACCATGGAATACTATGCAGCCATAAAAAATGATGAGTTCATGTCCTTTGTAGGGACATGGATGAAGCTGGAAACCATCATTCTCAGCAAACTATCGCAAGGACAAAAAACCAAACACCACATGTTCTCACTCATAGATGGGAATTGAACAATGAGAACACATGGACACAGGAAAGGGAACATCACACACCAGGGCCTGTTGTGGGGTTGGCGGAGGGGGGAGGGATAGCATTAGGAGATATACCTAATGTTAAATGACGAGTTAATGGGTGCAGCACACCAACATGGCACATGTATAGACATGTAACTAACCTGCACATTGTGCATATATATCCTAGAACTTAAAGTATAATTAAAAAAAAAAAAGAATGCTGACATAGCTCTCAAACAAGGTAGACTTAAAGACAAGAAGCATTGATAGAGCTATAGATGAACACTACCCATGGCACATGTTTACCTATGTAACAAACCTGCACATCCTGTATATGTACCCCGGAACTTAAAATAAAAAGATGAACATTTCTAAAAAAAAAAAGAAAGAAAGAAGCAAATGGAAATTTTATAGCTGGAAAATAAAATAACCAAAATGAAAACTCACTGGATGGATTCAATAACAGAATGAATATGACAAAAGAAACAATCAGTGAACTCAAAGATAGAGCAATTGAAATTTTCCAGCCTGAACTGAGAGGAAAATACACTGAAAGAAAAAATTAAAAATGAACAGGCAAGATTCAAGATGGCCGAATAGGAACAGCACCAGTCTGCAGCTCCCAGCGAGATCGAGGCAGAAGGTGGGTGATTTCTGCATTTCCAACTGAGGCACACGGTTCATCTCACTGGGACTGGTTGGACAGTGGGTGCAGCCCACGGAGGGCAAGCCGAAGCAGGGTGGGGCATCACCTCACCTGGGAAGTGCAAGGGGTCGGGGAATTTTCCCCTCTACCCAAGGGAAGCCATGAGGGTCTGAGCCTGAGGAACTCCAGCACAGATACTGCACTTGTCCCACAGTCTTCGAAACCCACAAACCAGGAGATTCCCTCCAGTGACTACCCCACCAGGGCCCTGGGTTTCAAGCACAAAACTGGGTGGCCAATTGGGCAGACACTGAACTAGCTGTAGGAGCTTTTTTTCTTTTTTCCATACCCCAGTGGCGCCTGGAACACCAGCGAGACAGAACCGTTCACTCCCCTGGAAAGAGGGGCTGAAGCCAGGGAGCCAAGTGGTCTGGCTTGGCTGGTCCCACGCCCATGGAGCCCAGGAAACTAAGATCCACTGGCTTGAAATTCTTGCTGCCAGCACAGCAGCAATCTGAGATTCACCTGGGATGATTGAGCTTGGTGGTGGAAGAGACGTCCACCATTGCTGAGGCTTGAGTAGATGGTTTTATGGCCACAGTATAAACAAAGCTGCTGGGAAGTTCAAACTGGGCAGAGCTCACTGCAGCTCAGCAAGGCTGCTGTGGCCAGACTGCCAGATTGCTCCTCTCTGGACAGGGCATCTCTGTAAAAAAGGCAGCAACCCCAGTCGGGGGCTTATAGCAGACTTAAACGTCCCTGCCTGATGGCTCTGAAGAGAGCAGTGGACCTCCCAGCACGGTATTGAAGCTCTGCTAAGGGTCAGTCTGCCTCCTCAAGTGGGTCCCTGATCCCCATGTATACTGACTGGGAGATACCTTCTAGCTTGGACCGACAGACACCTGATACAGGAGAGCTCTGGCTGGCATCTGACAGGTGCCCCACTGGGTCGAAGCTTCTAGAAGAAAGAACAGGCAGCAATCTTTGCTGCTTTGCAGCCTCTGCTGGTGATACCCAGGCAAACAGGGTCAGGAGTGGACCTCCAGCAAACTCCAGCAGACTGGCACCAAAGGGGCCTGTTAGAAGGAAAAGAAACAGAAAGGATTAGCACGTCCACTCAAAGACCCCATCCGAAGGTCACCAACATCAAAGACCAAAGGTAGATAAATCCACAAAGATGGGAAAAAAGTAGCATGAAAAGGTTGAAAATTCCAAAAACCAGAATGCCTCTCCTCCTCCAAATGATCACAACTCTTCGCCAGCAAGGGAACAAAACTGGACAGAGAATGAGTTTGATGAACTGACAGAAGTAGGCTTCAGAAGGTGGGTAATAACAAAAAACTACAAGCTCAAGAAGCATGTTCTAAGCCAATGCAAAGAAGCTAAAAACCTTAAAAAAAGGTTAATCGAATTAACTAGAATAACCAATGTAGAGAAGAACATAAATGACCTAATGGAGCTGAAAAACAAAGCACAAAAACTTCATGAAGAATACACAAGTATCAATAGCCAAACTGATGAAGCAGTGATTGAAGATCAACTTAATGATCAACTTAATGAAATAAAGAGAGAAGACAAGATTAGATAAAAAAGAATAAAAAGGAACGAACAAAGCCTCCAAGAAATATGGGACTTGCCGGGGCGCGGTGGGTCACACCTGTAATCCCAGCACTTTGGGAGGCTGAGGTGGGTGGATCACGAGGTCAGGAGATCGAGACCATCCTGGCTAACATGGTGAAACCCCGTCTCTACTAAAAATACAAAAAATTAGCTGGGCGTGGGGGTGGGCGCCTGTAGTCCCAGCTATTTGGGAGGCTGAGGCAGGAGAATGGCGTGAACCCAGAAGGTGGAGCTTGCAGTGAGCCGAGATCACACCACTGCACTCCAACCTCAGTGAGAGCGAGACTCCATCTCAAAAAAAAAAAAAGAAACATGGGACTATGTGAAAAGACCAAATCTACGTTTGATTGGTGTACCTCAAAGTGACGGGGAGAATGGAATCAAGTTGGAAAACACTCTTCAGGATATTATCCAGGAGAACTTCTCCAACTTAGCAACACAGGCCAACATTCAAATTCAGGAAATACAGAGAACACCACAAAGATAATCCTCAAGACGAGCAACCCCAAGACACATAATCATCGGATTCACCAAGGTTGAAATGAAAGAGAAAATGTTAAGGGCAGCCAGAGAGAAAGGTCGGGTTACCCACAAAGGGAAGCTCATCAGACTATCAGCCGAACTCTCTGCAGAAACCCTATAAGACAGAAGAGAGTGGGGGCCAATATCCAACGTTCTGAAAGAAAAGAATTTTCAACCCAGAATTTCATATCCAGCCACACTAAGCTTCATAAGGGAAGGAGAAATAAAATCCTTTACAGACAAGCAAATGCTGAGGGATTTTGTCACCACCAGACCTGCCTTACGAGAGCTCCAGAGGGAAGCACTAAACATGGAAAGGAACAACTGGTACCAGCCACTGCAAAAACATACCAAATTGTAAAGAACATTGACACAATGAAGAAACTGCATTAACTAATGGGCAAAACAACCAGCTAGCATCATAATGACAGGATCAAATTCACACATAACAATATTAACCTTAATGTAAATGGGCTAAATGCCCCAATTAAAAGACACAGACTGGCAAATTGGATAAAGAGTCAAGACCCATCAGTATGCTGTATTCAGAAGACCCATCTCATGTGCAAAGACAAACATAGGCTCAAAATAAAGGGATGGGGGAATATTTACCAAGCAAATGGAAAGCAAAAAAAAGCAGGAGTTGCAATCCTAATCTCTGATAAAACAGACTTTAAATCAATAAAAATCAAAAGAGACAAAGAAGGGCATTACATAATGGTAAAGGGAACAATGCAGCAAGAAGAGCTAACTATCCTAAATATATATGCACCCAATACAGGAGCACCCAGATTCATAAAGCAAGTTCTTAGAGACCCAGACTCCCAAACAATAATAGTGGGAGACTTTAACACCCCACTGTCAATATTAGACAGATCAATGAGACAGAAAATAAAGATATTCAGGACTTGAACTCAGCTCTGGACCAAGCAGACCTAACAGACATCTACAGAACTCCCCACCTCAAATCAACAGACTATACATTCTTCTCAGCACCTCATTGCACTTATTCTAAAATTGACCACATAATCAGAAGTAAAACACTCCTCAGCAAATGCGAAATAATGGAAACCATAACAAACAGTCTCTCAGACCACAGTGCAACCAAATTAGAATTCAGGATTAAGAAACTCACTCAAAACTGCACAAATAAATGGAAACTGAACAACCTGTTCCTGAATGACTACTGGGTAAATAATGAAATGAAGGCAGAACTAAAAATGTTCTTTGAAACCAATGAAAATGAAGACACAATGTACCAGAATCTCTGGGACACATTTAAAGCGGTGTTTAGAGGGAAATTTATAGCACTAAATGCCCACAAGAGAAATCAGGAAAGTTCTAAAATTGATGCCCTAACATCGAAATTAAAAGAACTAGAGAAGCAACAGCAAATAAATTCAAAAGCTAGCAGAAGACATGAAATAACTAAGATCAGAGCAGAACTGAAGGAGATAGAGACACAAAAAACCCTTCAAAAATATCAATGAATCCAGGAGCTGATTTTTTGAAAAAATCAACAAAATAGACCACTAGCCAGACTAATAAAGAAGAAAAGAGAGAAGAATCAAATAGATGCAATAAAAAATGATATAGGGGATATCACCACTGATCCCATACAAATACAAACTACCATCAGAGAATACTATAAACACCTCTATGCAAATAAACTAGAAAATCTAGAAGAAATGGATAAATTCCTGGACACATACACCCTCCCAAGTCTAAGCCAGGAAGAAGTCGAATCCCTGAATAAAGCAATAACAATTTCTGAAATTGAGGCAGTAATTAATAGCCTACTACCCCAAAAAAAACCCCAGGAGCAGATGGATTCACAGGCGAATTCTACCAGAGGTACAAAGAGGAACTGGTACCATACCTTCTGAAACTATTCCAAACAATAGAAAAATAGGGACTCCTCCCTAACTCATTTTATGAGGCCAGCATCATCCTGATACCAAAACCTGGCAGAGACACAACAAAAAAGGAAAATTTCAGGCCAATATCCCTGATGAACATCAATGTGAAAATCCTCAATAAAATACTGGCAAACCGAATGCAGCAGCACATAAAAAAGCTTATCTACCACGATCAAGTTGGCTTCATCCCTGGGATGCGAGGCTGGTTCAACATACGCAAATCAATAAATGTAATCCATCACATAAACAGAA
This sequence comes from Homo sapiens, assembly GCF_000001405.40. NCBI lineage: Eukaryota > Metazoa > Chordata > Mammalia > Primates > Hominidae > Homo > Homo sapiens. Next base: position 3,564,385 of record NT_167246.2, on the reverse strand, counting down.
CCAATAACAAAAACCACATGATTATCTCAATAGATACGGAAAAGGCCTTTGATAAAATTCAACACCCCTTCATGCCAAAAACTCTCAATAAACTAGGTATCGACGGAACATATCTCAAAATAACAAGAGCTATTTATGACAAACCCACAGCCAATATTATACTGAATGGGCAAAAACTGGAAGCATTCCCTTTGAAAACCGGCACAAGACAAAGATGCCCTCTCTCACCACTCCTATTCAACATAGTATTGGAAGTTCTGGCCAGGGCAATCAGGCAAGAGAAAGCAATAAAGAGTATTCAAATAGGAAGAGAGGAAATCAAATTTTCTCTGTTTGCAGAAGACATGATTGTATATTTAGAAAACCCCATCGTCTCAGCCCAAAACCTCCTTAAGCTGATAAGCAACTTCAGCAAAGTCTCAGGATACAAAATCAATGTGCAAAAATCACAAGCATTCCTGTACACCAATAATAGACAGAGAGCCAAATCATGAGTGAACTCCCATTCACAATTGCTACTAAGAGAATAAAATACCTAGGAATACAACTTACAAGGGATGTGAAGGACCTCTTCAAGTAGAACTACAAACCACTGCTCAAGGAAATAAGAGAGGACACAAACAAATGGAAAAACATTCCATGTTCATGGATAGGAAGAATCAATATCATGAAAATGGCTACACAGCCCAAAGTAATTTATAAATTCAATGCTATTCCCATGAAGCTACCACTGACTTTCTTCACAGAATTGGAAAAAAACTACTTTAAACTTCATATGGAACCAAAAAAGAGCCTGCGTAGCCAAGACAATCCTGGGCAAGAAGAACAAAGCTAGAGGTATCATGCTACCTGATTTCAAACTATACTACAAGACTACAGTACCCAAAACAGCATAGTACTGGTACCAAAACAGATATATAGACCAATGGAACAGAACGGAGGCGTCAGAAATAACACCACACAGCTACAACCATCTGATCTTTGACAAACCTGACACACACAAGCAATGGGGAAAAGATTCCCAATTTAGTAAATGGTGTTGGGAAAACTGGCTAGCCATATGCAGAAAACTGAAACTGGGCCCCTTCCTTACACCTTTTACAAAAATCAACTCAAAATGGATCAAAAACTTCAACATAAGACTTAGGACCATAAAACTCCTAGAAGAAAATCTGGGCAATACCATTCAGGACAGAGGCATGGGCAAAGACTTCATGTCCAAAACACTAAAAGCAATGGCAACAAAAGCCAAAATTGACAAACGGGATCTAATTAAACTAAAGAGCTTCTGCACAGCAAAAGAAAGTATCATCAGAGTGAACAGGCAACCTACAGAATGGGAGAAAATTTTTGCAGTCTATCCATGTGACAAAGGGCTAATATCCAGAATCTACAAAGAACTTAAATTTACAAGAAAAAACCCATCAAAAAGTGGGCAAAGGATATGAACAGACACTTCTCAAAAGAAGACATTTATGCAGCCAACAGACATATGAAAAAAATGCTCATCATCACTGGTCACCAGAGAAATGCAAATCAAAACCACAATGAGATTCCATCTCACACCAGTTAGAATGGCGATCATTAAAAAGTCAGGAAACAACAGGTGCTGGAGAGGTTGTGGAAAAATAGGAATGCTTTTACACTGTTGGTGGGAGTGTAAATTAGTTCAACCACTGTGGAAGACAGTGTGGCGATTCCTCAAGGATCTAGAACTGGAAATACCATTTGACCCAGCAATCCCAATACTGGGCATATACCCAAATGATTATAAATCATTCTATAGTAAAGACACATGCACACATGTTTATTGTGGCACTATTCACAGTAGCAAAGACTTGGAACCAACCCAAATGTCCATCAATGATAGACTGGATTTAGAAAATGTGGCACGTATATATCATGGAATACTATGCAGCCATAAAAAAGGATGAGTTTGTGTCCTTTGCAGGAACATGGATAAAGCTGGAAACCATCATTTTCAGCAAACTATCACAAGATCAGAAAACCAAACACCGCATGTTCTTGCTTATAAGTGGGAGTTGAACAATGAGAACATACGGACACAGGGAGGGGAACATCACACACCGGGGCCTGTCAGAGAGTGGGGAGTTAGGGGAGGGATAACATTAGGAGAAATACCTAATATAGGTGACAGGTTGATGGGTGCAACAAACCACCAGGGCACATGTATACCTATGTAAGAAAAATGTACATTCTGCACATGTAACCCAGAACTTAAAGTATAATAAAAAAAAAAAAAGAAAGAAAGAAAAGAAAAAACGAACAGAGCAACAAGTATCTGTGGGACAATAACAAAGTCTCTAACATTCCTGTGACTGGAATTACAGAAGGAGACGGCATAGGGTGCTAAAAAAAAAAAAAAATTGAGACAGGCTCTCACTCTGTTACACAGGCTGGAGTGCGGTGGCATGATCACAGCTCACTGCAGCCTCAAACTCCCAGGCTTAGGTGATCCTCCTGCCTTAGCCTCCCGAGTAGCTGGGACCACTGACACATGCCACCATGACCAGCTAATTTTTTTTATTTTTTTTGTAGAGACAGTGTTTTGTCATGTTGCCCAGGCTGGTCTGAAAAAACTTTTTAACAAAATAATGATTGAAGACTTCTCAAACTTAATGAAAGACATAAATGTGTAATTCAAAAAGCTAAAGCAACTTCTAATATAATAAACTCAAAGAAATCTATGCTCAGATACATCATAATCAAATTTCTGAAAACTTAAAAAAATCTTGAAAACATGCTGAAAGAAAAAGCATTATTTATAGGAGAACAACAATTAGAATTACAGTGGATTTCTCACCAAAAAACCCAAAACAGGAAGAAAGTAGCACAACATTTTTCAACTGCTAAAAAATAAGACCTATCAGCCCAGAAGCTTATATCCAGAGATAATACTCCGAGGAAACTTCAAACACATTTTTAGCAATGTTACAGAATAGTAATCAATTGTATTCCTCTATGCTAGCAATAAAAAGTAGGAAGCCAAAACTGAAGCACAGTACTATTTACAACCACTCCAAAGAAAATTAAATATTTAAGTATAAATCTAACAAAATATGTACAGAATCAGCAGGCTGAAAACTACAAAATGCTGATGAAAAAATAAAAATAGATCTAAACAAACGGAGAGACATGCAGTGTCATTTAACTGGAAGACAACAAAGATGTCAATTCTCTTCAAATCGGTCTATAGGTTTAACACATTTCCTATCAAAAGCTTCCTTTTGTAGATATAGACAAACTGGTCCTAAAATCTATATGTAAAGTCAAAAGAACAAAAATTGCTAAAACAATATTTAAAAAGAATAGTAAAGTAGGAAGAATCACACTATCCAATGTTAACATTTACTACTGTAGATTGCCAGGCCAAGATGGCTGATTAGAAACAGCTATGGTCCACAGCACTCACAGAGAGGAACAAAAGAGGCAAGTGAATACAGCATCTTCAACTGAAATATCCAGGTACTTGCATTGGGACTCATCAGGAAAACAACTCGACCCACAGAGAACAAAGAAAAGCTGGATGGGGCGACAGCCCCCCTGGGAGCGACACAGAGCCAAAGGAACCCCCACTCCCAGCCAAGGGAAGAAGTGAGTGATGGTGCGACCTCAGGAAACCATGCTTCTCCCATGGATCTTTGCGACTGGTGGATCAGGAGATTCCCTCATGAGCCCATGCCACCAAGGCCTTGGGTCCGACACACACACAGCTGTGTGGAGTCTTGGCAGAGCAGCTGCTCAGACACACACAGAGACCCACGAGCTTTACATACTCTGGCCCAGGGCGGAGCGCAGGAAGGGCCCCAAAACAGATCATATCACAACTGTTGTTCTGGGAGAAAGTAAAAGTCAAAAAAGCATTGCATTTAGTTCAGGTTTCAGCCAAACTGCGAGATACCACGTTATTTAAGAGGCAGGCGGAGGAAGGAAACCTACCGCTTTGGAAGAGGCGGAGGAAATCGCTTTCTTCCCTGTGACTCAGCCCTGGAGGAATTTCCCTTTTGAAATCTTGCGGTGTTGAGTAGGACCGCCAGGCCGGCAAGCAGGAGGCGGCCTCCTCGTAACCGCCAGGCGGCGACACCTAGGGCGGCGCGGCCAGGAGGCGAGACCCCTTCTCCCCTCGCTGTTCCCCCTCGCGCCCCTTCTCCCCTCGCGGTTCCCCCTCGCGCCCCTTCTCCTCTCACATTTCCCCCTCACAAGCCTTCTCCCCTCCTGGTTCCCCCTCAAGCGCCTTCTCTCCTCAAATCTCCCTCAGCTTCCTTCTCTCCCTCCCATTTCTCTCCCCATTCTTTTACCTCTCCTAGTCCCGCCTTCCCCAGCACGATGGCACCTCTCTCGCCCTAAATCTTCTCCCCACTCCTCTCAACCCACTGACCGCCCTCGCCTCCCCACCCCCATCCCCTCTTCCCGCACGCACTGTCTACCTTTCTGCCCCTCCGCACTCCCGGACTTCTCAAGCACATACACCCAGCCTCATCTCACCCAACCCGGCCTATTCACTCCCTGAACCACCCCACCCCATCATCCTCTTCCTCCCCCATCTTCCTCCTCCCCAGTAGCTCTTCCCCCTCTTCCTCCTCACTTCCCCACCCCGTCACACCCCCCTCCCTCTCCCTGCCCTCGGTCTCTTCACTCCATCTCCTCCCTTTCACTGTGCTGTTTCGCGGTAGGAAGAGAAGAGTGGTGATACCTGAGGAATAAAAGGTATAACTCCCTCCCCAAACACTGCTAAAATGACTCTGAAAATAAATAATCAGGCAGACAAGGGGAACAGGGAACAGCAACAGACTGTAATGCTTTTCTGGAAAACTGGTGAAAAGCGGAGCTGATGAAAGTGGAACCTATTGTGCATCCAAAGAAATGCTACACAGAAGGAAAACCACTGTTTAGACAGAGCCCTAAATCTCTAGAAATGGAAAGCTAAAAACTAAGAAAGTCTAGGGTAAGAGGGTAAACCTGAAAAAGATGGACCTATTGAAAATCTGTATAAGAAGGAGTTAGGGCTGAGATCTTTCCCTTATTCTTGGTCTGCACATCCATGAACCTAACTTTCCCCCAATACCATTTTTGACTTAAAACAAGAATCAGTAAACTTTTTCTATAAAGGGCCAAATGTTTACTTTGGCTTTGTAGGTCCCTATGGGCTCCATCACAACTACTCACCTCTGCCTTTATAGCACAAAAGCAGTCATAGACAATACATAAATGAATGAAGAACATGGCTATGTTCCAATAAAGCTTTACTTATGGAGACTTAAATTTGAATTTCATATAATTTTCACATGTCACAAAATATTATGTGACATTTTACATGAAATGTAAAAATCATTCTTAGCTCATGGGCTATACAAAAAAAAAAAAAAAAACAAGTGGCAGACTGGATTTGGCCCATTGGGTGGTAGTTTGCTCATCCCTGGCTTAAAGAAAAAAACAATTAATAAACCAGGAATAAGGCCAGGTGCAGTGGCTCACACCTGCAATCCCAGCACTTTGGGAGGCTGAGGTGGGCTGATCACCAGAGGTCAGGAGTTCAAGATCAGCCTGGCCAACATGGTGAAACCCCCATCTCTACTAAAAATACAAAATTAGCTGGGCATGGTGATGCCCGCCTGTAATCCCAGCTACTTGGGAGGCTGAGGCAGGAGAATCTCTTGAACCCAGCAGGCAGACGTTGCAGTGAGCCGAGATCATGCCATTGCACTCCAGCCTAGGCAACAAGAGCAAAACTCCATCTCAAATAAATAAATAAAATAAATAAATAAACAAACCAGGAATAGAAGAGAACTTCTTTAACCTGATAAAGGGTATCTATTTTTTTTTATTCTGAAACACATCTTCCAAAAAGAGAAAGTTGGGATGCATTCTCATTAAAATTATGAAGACAAGGAGACTACTATCATCACTTTTATTCAACATTGTATTTTGGTCATTACCAGCATAATGAGATAAGAAAAAGAAACCAAAAGATTGGAAAGGAAGACATAAAACTGTCAACATTTACAGAGGACATGATTACACCATAGAATCTAAAGACAAATTAATCTAAAGACAAATTACTATAAATAATAGGAAAGTTTAATGAAGTAACTGATATAAACTCAATCCTCTATTTTCACATCTTTGCTTTTCCTATTGCCTATGTTTTTATGTTTTTGTTATACTTGCTGGGATATTTCTTCTCCTTTACCTTCCCAAACCTTTATTAAATACTTATTCTGAGCTCTCATATTTTAAGTTTTCAGGAGCTGTTTACTTGTTAATCCTTCCCTTGTTTAAGTATCTTGTTCTTTCATAGATGTGATACCTGCTTTTATTTCTCATTGATTATAGTTGTGTTTTAAAGTCTCTTCTGAATTGTCTCTGTTCTTCCAAGTTCTTCCTTGTTTTGAACTCTGCCTTTGTTACTGGATACTTTCTTTGCATTTTAATGAGACTAAGAGGTCCCTTCTGAAACCTTACACATCAGCATCTCACTCTCCAACCAAAACCCAATATCTTTGCAGCTCTAGTGCTCTAGAGTTCCCACTGCCTTTCTTCTTTGACCTCACTAGTACCTTCAGGCACTTCCCCCTTTTGTTTCCAGTCAATCAGCTTCCTTCCCTTACCGACTACATTACCTGAAACTTTCTAGCCTAAACCATGATCAGTCAATTCAGTTGCACCCACAATTCAAACATCCCCTTACTAGATCAAATTAACTCTGCCCTCTCAGTTGTCAGAAGATTAAAAAGTCTGCATGTTGGACTCCCAATTCTTCAGCTCCATGTTCCTCTGAGCCTCCAACATGCTCACTTAAGCATGTCCTTCTATTGACCAAGGCAGCTTTTGCAGACCTTCAGGCATATTCTTAAACCACTTCCTAGTCCTCATTCTCAGCAGAGGATCATACCTTACATTCTTATCTCATATCTCAGTGGAAGTGGCATTCCTGCTTCCATACAGATTTTCCATACAAATTTTCTCCCTTCACCTGTGCTCTAGCCAAGTGATTCTCAAACTTAAGCATGCATCAAAATCACCTGGTACATTCCTAAAGCCCCACTCTCACAGATACTAATTCACTGTATCTGGGATAAAGTCTAACAATTTTGTATTATAACTCAGGTACTAAACCCAGTAAACAAAGGTCTTATTTTTCTTGATGCTGTTGGCCTTAATTCTTTCCCTAGTTCTAGAAGACACTACATGTCTTATGGCCTGCTGCAATTAGGGCCATCCCCCCCACCTCTTGAAAAGACATTATTATTTTGAATATTTCTCACACACACACACACAGAGAAAATTAAATTAATCAACTCACAACTCTATTAATTGCCCCAGAGATCTATCCTCACATCCTTCTCTCATATCTCAGTGGAAGTAGCATTCCTGCTTCCATACAAAGTTTTTCCCTTCACCTGTGCTCTAGCCAAGTGATTTTCAAACTTGAGCATGCATCCAAATCACCTGGTGATTGCTAAAGCCCTACACCCACAGATTCTAATTCACTGTATCTGTGATGAAGTCTAACAATTTTGTATTGCTAACAAGCTTCCAGGTGATGCCAGTGCCACCCATTTGCGGATCATCCTTTGAGTATCCTGCTCTAGATTCCATCATCTCCTGTCTCCCAGAAGTCCATACTTCATCTTCAACCTCTTTCCTATTTCCCATGCCCATACCTTACCCCTCAAACACATATGAATGCAGTCAAGACTCTCCAATCTTCAAAAAAGAAAAAAAAAACTTTCAAAATATCCTATTATTCTCACCTTTTTTTTTTTGTTTGTTTGTTTTTGGAGACAGTCTTGCTCTGTCACCCAGGCTGGAGTGCAATGGTGCGATCTAAGCTCACTGCAACCTCCGCCTCTCAGAATCAAGCAATTCTCCTGCCTCAGCCTACTGAGTAGCTAGAATTATAGGCACGTGCCACCATGCCCAGCTAATTTTTTGTATTTTTAGTAGAGACGGGGATTCACCATGTTGGTCAGGCTGGTCTCAAACTCCTGCCCTCGTTGATCCGCCCACCTCAGCCTCCCAAAATGCTGGGATTACAGACGTGAGCCACCACACCCGGCCTGCACCTTTTCTTTATAACCAAGCTTTTCAGAGGAATCATGTCCATACTCTTTACTTCCTCGCCATCGATTGCACTTTTCAATTTGGTTTCTTTTCCAACTAAAGCATCAAAATGACTCAGATACTAAACCCAGTAAACAAGGTGCTTATTTTTCTTGATGCTGGTTGGCCTTAATTCTTCCCCTAGTTCTAGAAGACACTACATGTCTTATGGCCTGCCAAAATTAGGGCTATCCCCCCACTTCTTGAAAAGACTTATTATTTTAATCTTTCTAACCACAGCACAGATGATATAGGACTAACAAGATACAATTTTTCCCCTTTATTTTCCATTAAATGCAATGCAAAGTAAATCTAAATATTAACTACACTGCTCTTCCCTTTTCCTGGAGGTAGGAAGCCTTTTATGATTCAAACTATCCTGTGCCTTGAAGCCTCCTGCCTCCCATGTAGTGGTCCTCATTGTCCCTGGGAAGCTCCTCTTCCTTAAGTGATGATGTCCCCAAGGTTCTGACCTCTTTTCACTCTCACTCTCTACCTGGGCCATATCTTTCACCCTATGGCTTAGGCCCAATAATATAACTGCATCCTTGATGTAGCCTTGCAAAACCTTTGACTAATTTAGACCAAATGCATACATTTTGAAGATGTTATTTGATTTTATTAATAATCTTTAAAACCATCTTTGTTTACCAAAGATCACTGAAGTCACATGAACTAAAAGGCCTTAAAATTTCTATTTCTCGGCCTGGCACAGTGGCTTACACCTATAATCCCAGCACTTTGGAAGGCCGAGGTGGGCGGATCACGAGGTCAAGAGATCAAGACCATCCTGGCCAACAAGGTGAAACCCTGGCCCTACTAAAAATACAAAAATTAGCTGGGCATGGTGGCGTGTACCTGTAGTCTCAGCTACTCAGGAGGCTGAGACAGGAGAATTGTTTGAACCCGGGAAGTGGAGGTTGCAGTGAGCCGAGATTGCGCCACTGCACTCCAGCTTGACAACAGAGCGAGACTCTGTATTAAAAAATATATATGTATATATATATATTTCTCTGATAAAATATTTAAGTGCTTATTTTTCTAAAAGCCATTAATTACAGCTTTTTCATATATTTTGGTAGTGAAAATATCACAAACACATGACATGTATAAACACACAGACATACAAACACACAGAAGCAGATTTTATAGATTTGTAAGATTCTTCATGTGCCAGTTTTTAAAGTTTCTCTTCCTCATTTTGGACCTTCTCCTGATTACCTGTTCCCTGCCCTAAATAATTGTCAGCTATGCCACTCCAAATCTGCATTTCTAAAGGCACAATTCTTAAGTGAAATGAAATAGAAAATTCATATTTTATTTAAACCAAGGAAAAATGGTATGAGTAAAAGTTCAGTTAAGATGGCCAGGAAGCTGTGTGTGGTGGCTCATGCCTGTAATCCCAGCACTTAGAGAGGTCAAGGCAGGAGGATTACTTGAGCCCAAGAGCTCAAGACCAGCCTGGGCAACATGGCAAGACCCCATCTCTACAAAAACATACAAAAATTAGCTGGGCGTAGTGGTCTCAGCTGCTGGGGAGGCTGAGCTGGGAGGATCACTTGAGCCCAGGAGGTCAAGGCTGCAGTAAGCTATGTTCTCACCACTGTATTCCAGCCTGGGTGATAGAGCAAGACCCTGTCTCAAAAGAAGAAAAAGAAAAAAGATGGTTAGGAAAACAGACACACTTGCCCATTGAAATTTTTTTAAAGATGTTAGTTTCTTAATTGAATTACTGGCTTTAGGGTGGAGCCCTTTAAGGAACAGGGCCAGGAAAGCATGCAGTTTCTATGGCCTAATAAGCAGGCACAGCTGGAAGGCAAAACAGATCTCCAAAGTTAAGGATCCAACTTTTACACTGAATCCTGGGTCCTCAAAAGAGGAGAACACCACAGGACAAGATAGTGCAATGCTTTTACGGTGCACTTCACTGCAAGGACATTCCCCTGAGGCTGGTGGGCAACCCTATAGCAATCAGCCTATTCTGTAATCACTTAATGCTCCATGGGAGTCTTAGCCCTCATTCCATACCTTCTAGGTGCCCCAAAGCATGCTTTTCTTATCTAAATGTGCAAAAAAAAGCAGTACCACCCTGTAGTGATAACTATTCACTGTAAACAACTGTCAATAGCCATCTCTAAAAGTATATTTGTTTCCTAGCTTTTACATACAAAGATTAAAATTTAAGCAGACAGAATTCAGTTGCTTAAGAAGTTTTTACAGAGAGAGAGCAGAGGCTTTAAAACAATATCTGTACACATATATTCTAAATCAGTTTTAATTAAGTTGACTTTTAACTATAGAGCTCTTGAAGAAAATTCTTTCAGATCTCTTATTACCAGTTTTTAGCTGGAACAAACAGCTGATATTTCTGGCTTTTGAACTCTCTACCAAGGATAACCTCCCACCTGAAACCAATGAGCCTTAACTAGGGTTATGACTTAACCACAGATGCACAAGGTATCTCCAAAGAGATGCCAAGCAGTTTTTTACAAGATCTAGAATCACCCCAAAGGTATCTCAGAGCAAGGAAAATTCAAGACAGGAAATCAGAAGCTGTCCATCAATGAATGGCAAAAAGTCCCACAAATACAAAACCAGAAAGGACGCATTCCCTAAGCTGGGAAGTGATCCCAGGCCACCATAGTGAAAGGGCAGAGATTTAGCTACTGTGCTACAGCATAGGGTGGTTGCCAGTGCTCTTCCCAGAAAGAATCTAGAGCAGTCATTTTCAAGCTTGCGAATGATTTTAACTGCTCAAGAGAATTTTTAAGGCTACCCACGACACTACTGTTTAACCTTCCTTCAATTGTTTTAGATAAGAGAGCTCTAAAATCCTTTTTCTTTCAATGGTGTACTTAGTTCCAATAGAGACTCAAACACCTTTTTTAAATTGCAGATGGTAATTTTCCAGGTTTTTGCCATATAAGCAGCAAGAAGTATTCCTAGAGGAGGCATCCCCAAGTATTCCCTCTTGGAAATGGGTTTAAGATAGCAAAATACAACAAAAGTCCTGTAGAGATAGGACTGTTTTTTTGTCCTAATAAATCCAACCAGCAGAGATGGGACGTTTTAAGACAAAACTCACCTAAGGGCTCAACACATTCAGGACGAAGAGTATGCTAATGTGTCTCAGACTCCCAGTCCTCTCAGACCAGCCACCTGACTTGAACCCAAGAATTTCCACCCTCCAGATGGCAGAGATCAAGAGAGAGAGTACCCCTACATGGTTACAAAGTCAAGCTCTCAACCACATAAAACAAGACAAGGGAAATCTCATCCAGTTTTTGTTCCAAGGACCTGCAGCAAAGTTTGTAACCGACCAGTCTGCAGGGCTGGCTTGAACAGCAGGCTTACAGGGATCCTAGGCCTGTGTTCTATCCTATGGTATCCTTCTCCATGACAGAACGACACAAAAAGGCAAAGACAAAGGAAGATGGCAAAAAAGGTGATTTCTGAGAAGGGGCCAAACAATACAAATATTTATAGTTCAAAGTAGCAAAAGTACACAAGATTCACTACAACCTAAGACTAGTCACACAAATCTTCTTCCCTATTAATCAAAACTTTGCAGAGGAGACAAACAGTGACTTTTATTGTTCACTCAACTCATTTGCACAGAGAGAGAAAGGCCAGAGGCTAGCTGGTAAGAAATTAGCTTTTTACCAGCTTGTCAGGTTTATGGCTTCCCTTTCTCAGCTGCTTCCAGAAGAGCAGAGTGGCTTTTGATGACCCTGCTTGCTGCACCGTAGCTGTGGGGGCCAAGCCACGTTACAAAAGAAAAACATTCCTTTTCTTTTCATGGAACCACAGGCAAAAGGCCCCAGTTTTGCAAGAGGCAGCCCAACAGGTTGTGTGGGGGAACTAAATTAACATTTCCCATTCCAACAGGAGTTATACACACATGTCAAAACACAGACACTAGTCACTCTGCTCAGTGCCCAAGTATCAACCTGGCAAGGCTCAAACTTGCCCCCATTGGCCCCTATCTGAGTCTCCCCCCCAATATAAGTTTCATGGTGGTAGGGCATATTAAGAAAGCCTGGCAGGCCAGGCGCGGTGGCTCCTGCCTGTAATCCTAGCACTTTGGGAGGCCAAGGCAGGCAGATCACCTGAGGTCAGGAGTTCGAGACCAGCCTGGCC